>NC_000005.10:49890555-50059807 GCF_000001405.40 Homo sapiens | reverse complement strand
TCTGTCTAGTTTTTAGGGGCAGATATTTGCATTGGCACAATAGCCCTCAAAGCGCTCCAAATATCCACTGGCAGATTCTACCAAAAGAGTGTTTCAAAACTGCTCTGTGAAAAGAAATGTTCAACTGTGTTAGTTGAATGCCCACATCACAAAGAAGATTCTGAGAATATTTCTGGCTAGTTTGTGTGTGAAGATATTCCCATTTCCAACAAAGGCTTCAAAGCGCTCCAAAGATTCACCTGCAATTGTTCAAAAGAGTGTTTCAAAACTGTTGTATCAAAAGGAAGGTTCAACTCTGTGAGTTGAATGCACGCTTCATATAAATGTTTCTGAGAATGCTTCTTTCTAGTTTTTTTGGGAAGATATTTCCTTCTCCACCACAGCCCTCAAAGCGCTCCAAGTGTCCGCTGGCAGATTCCACAGAAACAGTGTTTCAAAACTGCTCTAACAAAAGAAAGATTCAACTCCGTGATTTGAATGCACACATCACAAAGCATTTTCTGTCAATCCTTCTGTCTAGTTTTTATATGAGGATATTTCCTTTTCTACCATGGGCATCAAAGCGTTCCAATTATCCAATTGTGGATTGCACAAACAGAGTGTTTCAAAACTGCTTCATGAAAAGGAAGATTCAAATTCGGGAGGAGAATGCACACATCACGAAGAAGTTTCTGAGAATGTTTCTGTCTAGTTTATATGTGAAGATATTCCCATTTCCAGCAAAGGTCTCAAAGCGGTCCAAATATCCCCTTGCGGATCCCACAAACAGAGTGTTTCAAAACTGCTCTACGGAAAGGTATGTTCAACTCTGTGAGTTTACTGCAAACATCCTAAAGAAGTTTCTGAGAATGCTGCTGTCTAGTTTAATGTGAATATATTTTCTTTTCCGCCATAGCCCTCAAAGAGCTCCAAATATCCACTTTCAGATTCTACAGAGTGTTTCAAAACTGCTCTATCCAAAAAAAGTTTCAACTCGGTGAGTCGAATGCACATATCACAAAGCAGTTTCTGAGAATGTTTTCGTCTATTTTTCCCAGGAAGATATTTCCTTTTTGACCGTAGGCCTCAAACCGCTCCAGATATCCACATGCAGATTCTACAAAAAGAGTGTTTCCAAACTACCCTATCAAAAGGAAGGTTCAACTCTGCTACTTGAATGCAAACATCACAGAGAAGTTTCTCGGAATGCTTCTGTCTGGTTTTTAGAGGCAGATATTTCTTTTTCTACCATAGGCCTCAAAGCGCTCCAAATATCCACTTGCAGATTCTCCAAAAACAGTGATTCAAAACTGCTCCATAAAAAGGAAGGTCATCTCTGTGAGTTGAATGGACAGATCACAAAGAAGTTTCTGAGAATGCTTCTCTCTAGTGTTTATGTGAAGATATTCCCGTTTCCGATGAAGGCCTCAAAGCAGTCCAAATATCCACTTGCCGATTCTACACAAACAGTGTTTCAAAACTACTCTATGGAAAGGTATGTTCAACACTGTGAGATGAATGCAAACGTCACAAAGAAGTTGCTGAGAATGCTTCAGTCTAGTTTCTATGGGAAGACATTTCCTTTTGCACCACAGCCCTCAAAGCACCCCAAATGTCTACCTGCAGATTCAATAAAAGAGTTTTTCTAAACTGCTCCATCCAAAGAAAGGTTCAACGCTGTGAGTTGAATCTACATATCACAAAAAAGTTTCTGAGAATGCCTCTATCTACTTTTTATGTGAAGATATTCCGGTTTCCAAAGAAGGCCTCAAAGCGCTCCAAATATCTACTGGCAGATTCTAGAAAAAGAGTGTTTCAAAACTGCTCTATTAAAGGAAGGTTCAACTCTGTGAGTTGAATTCACACATCACAAAGAACTTTCTGACAATGCTTCTATCTAGTTTTTATGTGAAGATATTACTGTTTCCTATGAAGGCCTCAAAGTGGTCCGAATATCCACTTGCAGATTCTACAGAAAGAGGTTTTCAAAACTGCTCTGTGAAGAGGTATGTTCAACTCTGTGTGTTGAATGCAAACATCACGAAGTAGTTTCTGAGAATGCTTCTGTCTAGTTTTTAGGGGCAGATATTTCCATTGGCACAATAGCCCTCAAAGCGCTCCAAATATCCACTGGCAGATTCGACCAAAAGAGTGTTTCAAAACTGCTCTGTGAAAAGAAATGTTCGACTGTGTTAGTTGAATACCCACATCACAAAGAAGTTTCTGAGAATATCTCTGTCTAGTTTTTATTAGAAGATATTCCCGTTTCCACCAAAGGACACAAAGCGAAGCCAAATATCCGCTTGCCGATCTTACAAAAACACGTTTCAAAACTGCTCTATCAAAGGAAAGGTTCATCTCTCTGGGTTCAACGCACACATCACAAAGAAGTTTCTGAGAATGCTTCTGGCTAGTTTGTGTGTGAAGATATTCCCATTTCCAACAAAGGCTTCAAAGCGCTCCAAAGATTCACCTGCAATTGTTCAAAAGAGTGTTTCAAAACTGTTGTATCCAAAGGAAGGTTCAACTCTGTGAGTTGAATGCACGCTTCACATAAATGTTTCTGAGAATGCTTCTTTCCAGTTTTTATGGGAAGATATTTCCTTCTCCACCATAGCCCTCAAAGCGCTCCAAGTGTCCTCTGGCAGATTCCACAGAAACCGTGTTTCAAAACTGCTCTAACAAAAGAAAGATTCAACTCCGTGATTTGAATGCACACATCACAAAGCATTTTCTGTGAATCCTTCTGTCCAGTTTTTATATGAGGATATTTCCTTTTCTACCACGGGCAACCAAGCCTTCCAATTCTCCAATTGTAGATTGCACAAACAGAGTGTTTCAAAACTACTCCATGAGAAGCAAGATTCAAATTTGGGAGTACAATGCACACGTCACGAAGAAGTTTCTGAGAATGCTTCTGTCCAGTTTATATGTGAAGATATTCCCGTTTCCAGCAAAGGTCTCAAAGCGGTCCAAATATCCACTTGCGGATCCCACACACAGAGTGTTTCAAAGCTGCTCTACGGAAAGGTATGTTCAACTCTGTGAGTTTACTGCAAACATCCTAAAGAAGTTTCTGGGAATGCTGCTGTCTAGTTTAATGTGAATATCTTTTCTTTTCCGCCATAGCCCTCAAAGAGCTCCAAATATCCACTTTCAGATTCTACAGAGTGTTTCAAAACTGCTTTATCCAAAAAAAGTTTCAACTCGGAGAGTCGAATGCACATATCACAAAGCAGTTTCTGAGAATGCTTTCGTCTATTTTTCCCAGGAAGATATTTCCTTTTTGACCGTAGGCCTCAAACCGCTCCAGATATCCACATGCAGATTCTACAAAAAGAGTGTTTCCAAACTGCCCTATCAAAAGGAAGGTTCAACTCTGATAGTTGAATGCAAACATCACAAAGAAGTTTCTCAGAATGCTTCTGTCTAGTTTTTAGAGGCAGATATTTCTTTTTCTACCACAGGCCTCAAAGCGCTCCAAATATCCACTTGCAGATTCTCCAAGAACAGTGTTTCAAAACTGCTCCATAAAAAGGAAGGTTCAACTCTGTGAGTTGAATGGACAGATCACAAAGAAGTTTCTGAGATTGCTTCTGTCCAGTGTTTATGTGAAGATATTCCCGTTTCCGATGAAGGCCTCAAAGCAGTCCAAATATCCACTTGCAGATTCTACAAAAATAGTGTTTCAAAACTACTCTATGCAAAGGTATGTTCAACACTGTGAGATGAATGCAAACGTCACAAAGAAGTTGCTGAGAATGCTTCAGTCTAGTTTCTATGGGAAGACATTACCTTTTGCACCACAGCCCTCAAAGCACCCCAAATGTCTACCTGCAGATTCGATAAAAGGGTTTTTCAAAACTGCTCCATCCAAAGAAAGGTTCAACGCTGTGAGTTGAATCTACATATCACAAAAAAGTTTCTGAAAATGCCTCTATCTACTTTTCCTGTGAAGATATTCCGGATTCCAACGAAGGCCTCAAAGCGCTCCAAATATCTACTTGCAGATTCTAGAAAAAGAGTGTTTCACAACTGCTCTATTGAAGGAAGGTTCAACTCTGTGAGTTGAATTCACACATCACAAAGAATTTTCTGACAATGCTTCTATCTAGTTTTTATGTGAAGATATTACTCTTTCCTATGAAGGCCTCAAAGTGGTCCGAATATCCACTTGCAGATTCTACAGAAAGAGGTTTTCAAAACTGCTCTGTGAAGAGGTATGTTCAACTCTGTGTGTTGAATGCAGACATCACGAAGTAGTTTCTGAGAATGCTTCTGTCTAGTTTTCAGGGGCAGATCTTTCCATTGGCACAATAGCCCTCCAAGCGCTCCAAATATCCACTGGCAGATTCTACCAAAAGAGTGTTTCAAAACTGCTCTGTGAAAAGAAATGTTCAACTGTGTTAGTTGAATGCCCACATCACAAAGGAGATTCTGAGAATATTTCTGTCTAGTTTTTATTGGAAGATATTCCCGTTTCCAACAAAGGACACAAAGCGAAGCCAATTATCCGCTTGCAGATCTTACAAAAACACGTTTCAAAACTGCTCTATCAAAGGAAAGGTTCATCTCTCTGGGTTCAACGCACACATCACAAAGAAGTTTCTGAGAATGCTTCTGGCTAGTTTGTGTGTGAAGATATTCCCATTTCCACCAAAGGCTTCAAAGCGCTCCAAAGATTCACCTGCAATTGTTCAAAAGAGTGTTTCAAAACTGTTGTATCAAAAGTAAGGTTCAACTCTGTGAGTTGAATGCACGCTTCACATAAATGTTTCTGAGAATACTTCTTTCTAGTTTTTATGGGAAGATATTTCCTTCTCCACCACAGCCCTCAAAGCGCTCCAAGTGTCCGCTGGCAGATTCCACAGAAACAGTGTTTCAAAACTGCTCTGACAAAAGAAAGATTCAACTCCGTGATTTGAATGCACACATCACAAAGCATTTTCTGTGAATCCTTCTGTCTAGTTTTCATATGAGGATATTTCCTTTTCTACCATGGGCATCAAAGCGTTCCAATTATCCAATTGTGGATCGCACAAACAGAGTGTTTCAAAATTGCTTCATGAAAAGGAAGATTCAAATTCGGGAGTAGAATGCACACATCACGAGGAAGTTTCTGAGAATGCTTCTGTCTAGTTTATATGTGAAGATATTCCCATTTCCAGCAAAGTTCTCAAAGCTGTCCAAATATCCACTTGCATATCCCACAAACAGAGTGTTTCAAAACTGCTCTACGGAAAGGTAGGTTCAACTCTGTGAGTTTACTGCAAACATCCTAAAGAAGTTTCTGAGAATGCTGCTGTCTACTTTAATGTGAATATAGTTTCATTTCCGCCATAGCCCTCAAAGAGCTCCAAATATCCACTTTCAGATTCTACAGAGTGTTTCAAAACTGCTCTATCAAAAAAAAGTTTCAACTCGGTCAGTCGAATGCACATATCACAAAGCAGTTTCTGAGAATGCTTTCGTCTATTTTTCCCAGGAAGATATTTCCTTTTTGACCGTAGGCCTCAAACGGCTCCAGATATCCACATGCAGATTCTACAAAAAGAGTGTTTCCAAACTGCCCTATCAAAAGGAAGGTTCAACTCTGCTAGTTGAATGCAAACATCACAGAGAAGTTTCTCAGAATGCTTCTGTCTGGTTTTTAGAAGCAGATATTTCTTTTTCTACCATAGGCCTCAAAGCGCTCCAAATATCCACTTGCAGATTCTCCAAAAACAGTGATTCAAAACTGCTCCATAAAAAGGAAGGTTCAACTCTGTGAGTTGAATGGACAGATCACAAAGAAGTTTCCTGAGAATGCTTCTGTCTAGTGTTTATGTGAAGATATTCCCGTTTCCGATGAAGGCCTCAGAGCAGTCCAAATATCCACTTGCAGATTCTATAAAAATAGTGTTTCAAAACTACTCTATGGAAAGGTATGTTCAACACTGTGAGATGAATGCAAACGTCATAAAGAAGTTGCTGAGAATGCTTCAGTCTAGTTTCTATGGGAAGACATTTCCTTTTGCACCACAGCCCTCAAAGCACTCCAAATGTCTACATGCAGATTCGATAAAAGAGTTTTTCAAAACTGCTCTATCAAAAGAAAGGTTCAACGCTGTGAGTTGAATCTACATATCACAAAAAAGTTTCTGAGAATGCCTCTATCTACTTTTCCTGTGAAGATATTCCGGTTTCCAACGAAGGCCTCAAAGCGCTCCAAATATCTACTTGCAGATTCTAGAAAAAGAGTGTTTCAAAACTGCTCTATTAAAGGAAGGTTCAACTCTGTGAGTTGAATTCACACATCACAAAGAACTTTCTGACAATGCTTCTATCTAGTTTTTATGTGAAGATATTACTGTTTCCTACGAAGGCCTCAAAGTGGTCCGAATATCCACTTGCAGATTCTACAGAAAGAGGTTTTCAAAACTGCTCTGTGAAGAGGTATGTTCAACTCTGTGTGTTGAATGCAGACATCACGAAGTAGTTTCTGAGAATGCTTCTGTCTAGTTTTTAGGGGAAGATATTTCCATTGGCACAATAGCCCTCAAAGCGCTCCAAATATCCACTGGCAGATTCTACCAAAAGAGTGTTTCAAAACTGCTCTGTGAAAAGAAACGTACAACTGTGTTAGTTGAATGCCCACAACACAAAGAAGATTCTGAGAATATTTCTGTCTAGTTTTTATTAGAAGATATTCCCGTTTCCACCAAAGGTACACAAAGCGAAGCCAACTATCCGCTTGCAGATCTTACAAAAACACGTTTCAAAACTGCTCTATCAAAGGAAAGGTTCATCTCTCTGGGTTCAACGCACACATCACAAAGAAGTTTCTGAGAATGCTTCTGGCTAGTTTGTGTGTGAAGATATTCCCATTTCCAACAAAGGCTTCAAAGCGCTCCAAAGATTCACCTGCAATTGTTCCAAAGAGTGTTTCAAAACTGTTGTATCAAAAGGAAGGTTCAACTCTGTGAGTTGAATGCACGCTTCACATAAATGTTTCTGAGAATGCTTCTTTCTAGTTTTTATGGGAAGATATTTCCTTCTCCACCATAGCCCTCAAAGCGCTCCAAGTGTCCGCTGGCAGATTCCACAGTAACAGTGTTTCAAAACTGCTCTGACAAAAGAAAGATTCAACTCTGTGATTTGAATGCACACATCACAAAGCATTTTCTGTGAATCCTTATGTCTAGTTTTTATATGAGGATATTTCCTTTTCTACCATGGGCATCAAAGCGTTCCAATTATCCAATTGTGGACTGCACAAACAGAGTGTTTCAAAACTGCTTCATGAAAAGGAAGATTCAAATTCGGGAGGAGAATGCACACATCACGAAGAAGTTTCTGAGAATGCTTCTGTCTAGTTTATATGTGAAGATATTCCCATTTCCAGCAAAGGTCTCAAAGCGGTCCAAATATCCACTTGCAGATCCCACAAACAGAGGGTTTCAAAACTGCTTTACGGAAAGGTATGTTCAACTCTGTGAGTTTACTGCAAACATCCTAAAGAAGTCTCTGAGAATGCTGCTGTCTAGATTCATGTGAATATAATTTCTTTTCCGCCATAGCCCTCAAAGTGCTCCAAATATCCACTTTCAGATTCTACAGAGTGTTTCAAAACTGCTCTATCAAAAAAAAGTTTCAACTCGGAGAGTCGAATGCATATATAACAAAGCAGTTTCTGAGAATGCTTTCGTCTATTTTTCCCAGGAAGATATTTCCCTTTTTGACCGTAGGCCTCAAATCGCTCCAGATATCCACATGCAGATTCTACAAAAAGAGTGTTTCCAAACTGCCCTATCAAAAGGAAGGTTCAACTCTGGTAGTTGAATGCAAACATCACAAAGAAGTTTCTCAGAATGCTTCTGTCTGGTGTTTAGGGGCAGATATTTCTTTTTCTACCATAGGCCTCAAAGCGCTCCAAATATCCACTTGCAGATTCTCCAAAAAGAGTGTTTCAAAACTGCTCCAGAAAAAGGAAGGTTCAACTCTGTGAGTTGAATGGACAGATCACAAAGAAGTTTCTGAGAATGCTTCTGTCTAGTGTTTATGTTGAAGATATTCCCGTTTCCGATGAAGGCCTCAAAGCAGTCCAAATGTCCACTTGCAGATTCTACAAAAATAGTGTTTCGAAACTACTCTATGCAAAGGTATGTTCAACACTGTGAGATGAATGCAAACGTCACCAAGAAGTTGCTGAGAATGATTCAGTCTAGTTTCTATGGGAAGACATTTCCTTTTGCACCACAGCCCTCAAAGCACTCCAAATGTCTACTTACAGATTCGATAAAAGAGTTTTACAAAACTGCCCTATCAAAAGAAAGGTTCAACGCTGTGAGTTGAATCCACATATCACGAAAAAGTTTCTGAGAATGCCTCTATCTACATTTCCTGTGAAGATATTCCGGTTTCCAACGAAGTCCTCCAAGCGCTCCAAATATCTACTTGCAGATTCTAGAAAAAGAGTGTTTCAAAACTGCTCTATTAAAGGAAGGTTCAACTCTGTGAGTTGAATTCACACATCACAAAGAACTTCCTGACAATGCTTCTATCTAGTTTTTATGTGAAGATATTACTGTTTCCTATGAAGGCCTCAAAGTGGTCCGAATATCCACTTGCAGATTCTACAAAAAAGGTTTTCAAAACTGCTCTATGAAGAGGTATGTTCAACTCTGTGAGTCGAATGCAAACATCACAATGTAGTTTCTGAGAATGCTTCTGTCTAGTTTTCAGGGGCAGATATTTCCATTGGCACAATAGCCCTCCAAGCGCTCCAAATATCCACTGGCAGATTCTACCAAAAGAGTGTTTCAAAACTGCTCTGTGAAAAGAAATGTTCAACTGTGTTAGTTGAATGCCCACATCACAAAGGAGATTCTGAGAATATTTCTGTCTACTTTTTATTAGAAGATATTCCCGTTTCCACCAAAGGACACAAAGCGAAGCCAATTATCCGCTTGCAGATCTTACAAAAACACGTTTCAAAACTGCTCTAATCAAAGGAAAGGTTCATCTGTCTGGGTTCAACGCACACATCACAAAGAAGTTTCTGAGAATGCTTCTGGCTAGTTTGTGTGTGAAGATATTCCCAATTCCAACAAAGGCTTCAAAGCGCTCCAAAGATTCACCTGCAATTGTTCAAAAGAGTGTTTCAAAACTGTTCTATCAAAAGGAAGGTTCAACTCTGTGAGTTGAATGCACGGCTTCACATAAATGTTTCTGAGAATGCTTCTTTCTAGTTTTTATGGGAAGATATTTCCTTCTCCACCATAGCCCTCAAAGCGCTCCAAGTGTCCGCTGGCAGATTCCACAGAAACCGTGTTTCAAAACTGCTCTAACAAAAGAAAGATTCAACTCCGTGATTTGAATGCACACATCACAAAGCATTTTCTGTGAATCCTTCTGTCTGGTTTTTATATGAGGATATTTCCTTTTCTACCATGGGCATCAAAGCGTTCCAATTATCCAATTGTGGATTGCACAAACAGAGTGTTTCAAAACTGCTTCATGAAAAGGAAGATTCAAATTCGGGAGTAGAATGCACACATCACGAAGAAGTTTCTGAGAATGCTTCTGTCTAGTTTATATGTGAAGATATTCCCATTTCCAGCAAAGGTCTCAAAGCGGTCCAAATATCCACTTGCGGATCCCACAAACAGAGTGTTTCAAAACTGCTCTACGGAAAGGTATGTTCAACTCTGTGAGTTTACTGCAAACATCCTAAAGAAGTTTCTGAGAATGCTGCTGTCTAGTTTAATGTGAATATCTTTTCTTTTCTGCCATAGCCCTCAAAGAGCTCCAAATATCCACTTTCAGATTCTACAGAGTGTTTCAAAACTGCTCTATCCAAAAAAAGTTTCAACTCGGTGAGTCGAATGCACATATCACAAAGCAGTTTCTGAGAATGCTTTCGTCTATCTTTCCCAGGAAGATATTTCCTTTTGGACCGTAGGCCTCAAATCGCTCCAGATATCCACATGCAGATTCTACAAAAAGAGTGTTTCCAAACTGCCTTATCAAAAGGAAGGTTCAACTCTGGTAGTTGAAGGCAAACATCACAAAGAAGTTTCTCAGAATGCTTCTGTCTGGTTTTTAGAGGCAGATATTTCTTTTTCTACCATTGGCCTCAAAGCGCTCCAAATATCCACTTGCAGATTCTCCAAAAGGAGTGTTTCAAAACTGCTCCATAAAAAGGAAGGTTCAACTCTATGAGTTGAATGGACAGATGACAAAGAAGTTTCTGAGAATGCTTCTGTCTAGTGTTTATGTGAAGATATTCCCGTTTCCGATGAAGGCCTCAAAGCAGTCCAAATATCCACTTGCAGATTCTACACAAATAGTGCTTCAAAACTACTCTATGGAAAGGTATGTTCAACACTGTGAGATGAATGCAAACGTCACAAAGAAGTTGCTGAGAATGCTTCAGTCTAGTTTCTATGGGAAGACATTTCCTTTTGCACCACAGCCCTAAAAGCACCCCAAATGTCTACCTGCAGATTCGATAAAAGAGTTTTTCAAAACTGCTCCATCCAAAGAAAGGTTCAACGCTGTGAGTTGAATCTACATATCACAAAAAAGTTTCTGAGAATGCCCCTATCTACTTTTCCTGTGAAGATACTCCGGTTTCCAACGAAGGCCTCAAAGCGCTCCAAATATCTACTTGCAGATTCCAGAAAAAAAGTGTTTCAAAACTGCTCTATTAAAGGAAGGTTCAACTCTGTGAGTTGAATTCACACATCACAAAGAACTTTCTGACAATGCTTCTATCTAATTTTTATGTGAAGGTATTACTGTTTCCTATGAAGGCCTCAAAGTGGTCCGAATATCCACTTGCAGATTCTACAAAAAGAGGTTTTCAAAACTGCTCTATGAAGAGGTATGTTCAACTCTGTGAGTTGAATGCAAACATCACAAAGTAGTTTCTGAGAATTCCTCTGTCTAGTTTTCAGGGGCAGATATTTCCATTGGCACAATAGCCCTCCAAGCGCTCCAAATATCCACTGGCAGATTCTACCAAAACTGTGTTTCAAAACTGCTCTGTGAAAAGAAATGTTCAATTGTGTTTGTTGAATGCCCACATCACAAAGGAGATTCTGAGAATATTTCTGTCTAGTTTTTATTAGAAGATATTCCCGTTTCCACCAAAGGACACAAAGCTAAGCCAGTTATCTGCTTGCCGATCTTACAAAAACACGTTTCAAAACTGCTCTATCAAAGGAAAGGTTCATCTCTCTGGGTTCAACGCACACATCACAAAGAAGTTTCTGAGAATGCTTCTGGCTAGTTTGTGTGTGAAGATATTCCCATTTCCAACAAAGGCTTCAAAGCGCTCCAAAGATTCACCCGCAATTGTTCAAAAGGGTGTTTCAAAACTGTTGTATCAAAAGGAAGGTTCAACTCTGTGAGTTGAATGCACGCTTCACATAAATGTTTCTGAGAATGCTTCTTTCTAGTTTTTATGTGAAGATATTTCCTTCTCCACCATAGCCCTCAAAGCGCTCCAAGTGTCCGCTGGCAGATTCCACAGAAACAGTGTTTCAAAACTGCTCTAACAAAAGAAAGATTCAACTCCGTGATTTCAATGCACACATCACAAAGCATTTTCTGTGAATCCTTCTGTCTAGTTTTTATATGAAGATATTTCCTTTTCTACCATGGGCATCAAAGCGTTCCAATTATCCAATTGTGGATTGCACAAACAGAGTGTTTCAAAACTGCTTCATGAAAAGGAAGATTCAAATTCGGGAGGAGAATGCACACATCAGGAAGAAGTTTCTGAGAATGCTTCTGTCTAGTTTATACGTGAAGATATTCCCATTTCCAGCAAAGGTCTCAAAGCGGTCCAAATATCCACTTGCGGAACCCACAAACAAAGTGTTTCAAAACTGCTCTACGGAAAGGTATGTTCAACTCTGTGAGTTTACTGCAAACATCCTAAAGAAGTTTCTGAGAATGCTGCTGTCTAGTTTAATGTGAATATATTTTCTTTTCCGCCATAGCCCTCAAAGAGCTCCAAACATCCACTTTCAGATTCTACAGAGTGTTTCAAAACTGCTCTATCAAAAAAAAGTTTCAACTCGGTGAGTCGAATGCACATATCACAAAGCAGTTTCTGAGAATGCTTTCGTCTATCTTTCCCAGGAAGATATTTCCTTTTGGACCGTAGGCCTCAAATCGCTCCAGATATCCACATGCAGATTCTACAAAAAGAGTGTTTCCAAACTGCCCTATCAAAAGGAAGGTTCAACTCTGGTAGTTGAAGGCAAACATCACAAAGAAGTTTCTCAGAATGCTTCTGTCTGGTTTTTAGGGGCAGATATTTTTTTTCTACCATAAGCCTCAAAGCGCTCCAAATATCCACTTGCAGATTCTCCAAAAACAGTTTTTCAAAACTGCTCCATAAAAAGGAAAGTTCAGCTCTGTGAGGTGAATGGACAGATCACAAAGAAGTTTCTGAGAATGCTTCTGTCTAGTGTTTATGTGAAGATATTCCCGTTTCCGATGAAGGCCTCAAAGCAGTCCAAATGTCCACTTGCAGATTCTACAAAAATAGTGTTTCGAAACTACTCTATGCAAAGGTATGTTCAACACTGTGAGATGAATGCAATCGTCACCAAGAAGTTGCTGAGAATGATTCAGTCTAGTTTCTATGGGAAGACATTTCCTTTTGCACCAGAGCCCTCAAAGCACTCCAAATGTCTACTTGCAGATTCGATAAAAGAGTTTTTCAAAACTGCTCTATCAAAAGAAAGGTTCAACGCTGTGAGTTGAATCTACATATGACAAAAAAGTTTCTGAGCATGCCTCTATCTACGTTTTATGTGAAGATATTCCGGATTCCAACGAAGGCCTCAAAGCGCTCCAAATATCTACTTGCAGATTCTAGAAAAAGAGTGTTTCAAAACTGCTCTATTAAAGGAAGGTTCAACTCTGTGAGTTGAATTCACACATCACAAAGTACTTTCTGACAATGCTTCTATCTAGTTTTTATGCGAAGATATTACTGTTTCCTATGAAGGCCTCAAAGTGGTCCGAATATCCACTTGCAGATTCTACAGAAAGAGGTTTTCAAAACTGCTCTGTGAAGAGGTATGTTCAACTCTGTGTGTTGAATGCAAACATCACGAAGTAGTTTCTGAGAATGCTTCTGTCTAGTTTTTAGGGGCAGATATTTCCATTGGCACAATAGCCCTTAAAGCGCTCCAAATATCCACTGGCAGATTCTACCAAAAGAGTGTTTCAAAACTGCTCTGTGAAAAGAAACGTTCAACTGTGTTAGGTGAATGCCCGCATCACAAAGAAGATTCTGAGAATATTTCTGTCTAGTTTTTATTAGAAGATATTCCCGTTTCCACCAAAGGACACACAGCGAAGCCAACTATCCGCTTGCAGATCTTACAAAAACACGTTTCAAAACTGCTCTATCAAAGGAAAGGTTCATCTCTCTGGGTTCAACGCACACATCACAAAGAAATTTCTGAGAATGCTTCTGGCTAGTTTGTGTGTGAAGATATTCCCATTTCCAACAAAGGCTTCAAAGCCCTCCAAATGTTCACCTGCAATTGTTCAAAAGAGTGTTTCAAAACTGTTCTATCAAAAGGAAGGTTCAACTCTGTGAGTTGAACGCACGCTTCACATAAATGGTTCTGAGAATGCTTCTTTCTAGTTTTTATGTGAAGATATTTCCTTCTCCACCATAGCCCTCAAAGCGCTCCAAGTGTCCGCTGGCAGATTCCACAGAAACAGTGTTTCAAAACTGCTCTAACAAAAGAAAAATTCAACTCCGTGATTTGAATGCACACATCACAAAGCATTTTCTGTGAATCCTTTCTGTCTAGTTTTTATATGAGGATATTTCCTTTTCTACCACGGGCATCCAAGCGTTCCAATTCTCCAATTGTAGATTGCACAAACAGAGTGTTTCAAAACTGCTCCATGAGAAGGAAGATTCAAATTTGGGAGTACAATGCACACATCACGAAGAAGTTTCTGAGAATGCTTCTGTCTAGTTTATACGTCAAGATATTCCCATTTCCAGCAAAGGTCTCAAAGCGGTCCAAATATCCACTTGCGGATCCCACAAACAGAGTGTTTCAAAACTGCTCTACGGAAAGGTATGTTAAACTCTGCGAGTTTACTGCAAACATCCTAAAGAAGTTTCTGAGAATGCTGCTGTCTACTTTAATGTGAATATATTTTCTTTTCCGCCATAGCCCTCAAGGAGCTCCAAATATCCACTTTCAGATTCTACAGAGTGTTTCAAAACTGCTCTATCAAAAAAAAGTTTCAACTCGGTGAGTCGAATGCACATATCACAAAGCACTTTCTGAGAATGCTTTCGTCTATTTTTCCCAGGAAGATATTTCCTTTTTGACCGTAGGCCTCAAATCGCTCCAGATATCCACATGCAGATTCTACAAAAAGAGTGTTTCCAAACTGCCCTATCAAAAGGAAGGTTCAACTCTGGTAGTTGAATGCAAACATCACAAAGAAGTTTCTCAGAATGCTTCTGTCTGGTTTTTAGAGGCAGATATTTCTTTTTCTACCATAGGCCTCAAAGCGCTCCAAATATCCACTTGCAGATTCTCCAAAAACAGTGATTCAAAACTGCTCCATAAAAAGGAAGGTTCAACTCCTGTGAGTTGAATGGACAGATCACAAAGAAGTTTCTGAGAATGCTTCCGTCTAGTGTTTATGTGAAGATATTCCCGTTTCCGATGAAGGCCTCAAAGCAGTCCAAATATCCACTTGCAGATTCTACAAAAATAGTGTTTCAAAACTACTCTATGGAAAGGTATGTTCAACACTGTGAGATGAATGCAAACGTCACAAAGAAGTTGCTGAGAATGCTTCAGTCTAGTTTCTATGGGAAGACATTTCCTTTTGCACCACAGCCCTCAAAGCACTCCAAATGTCTACTTGCAGATTCGATAAAAGAGTTTTCCAAAACTGCTCTATCAAAAGAAAGGTTCAACGCTGTGAGTTGAATCCACATATCACGAAAAAGTTTCTGAGAATGCCTCTATCTACTTTTTATGTGAAGATATTCCGGTTTCCAAAGAAGGCCTCAAAGCGCTCCAAATATCTACTTGCAGATTCTAGAAAAAGAGTGTTTCAAAACTGCTCTATTAAAGGAAGGTTCAACTCTGTGAGTGGAATTCACACATCACAAAGAACTTTCTGACAATGCTTCTATCTAGTTTTTATGTGAAGATATTACTGTTTCCTATGAAGGCCTCAAAGTGGTCCGAATATCCTCTTGCAGATTCTACAAAAAGAGGTTTTCAAAACTGCTCTATGAAAAGGTATGTTCAACTCTGTGAGTTGAATGCAAACATCACAAAGCAGTTTCTGAGAATGCTTCTGTCTAGTTTTCAGGGGCAGATATTTCCATTGGCACAATAGCCCTCCAAGCGCTCCAAATATCCACTGGCATATTCGACCAAAAGAGTGTTTCAAAACTGCTCTGTGAAAAGAAATGTTCAACTGTGTTAGTTGAATGCCCACATCACAAAGGAGATTCTGAGAATATTTCTGTCTAGTTTTTATTAGAAGATATTCCCGTTTCCACCAAAGGACACAAAGCGAAGCCAATTATCCGCTTGCCGATCTTACAAAAACGCGATTCAAAACTGCTCTATCGAAGGAAAGGTTCATCTCTCTGGGTTCAACGCACACATCACAAAGAAGTTTCTGAGAATGCTTCTGGCTAGTTTGTGTGTGAAGATATTCCCATTTCCAACAAAGGCTTCAAAGCGCTCCAAAGATTCACCTGCAATTGTTCAAAAGAGTGTTTCAAAACTGTTGTATCAAAAGGAAGGTTCAACTCTGTGAGTTGAATGCACGCTTCACATAAATGTTTCTGAGAATGCTTCTTTCTAGTTTTTATGGGAAGATATTTCCTTCTCCACCGTAGCCCTCAAAGCGTTCCAAGTGTCCGCTGGCAGATTCCACAGAAACAGTGTTTCAAAACTGCTCTGACAAAAGAAAGATTCAACTCCGTGATTTGAATGCACACATCACAAAGCATTTTCTGTGAATCCTTCTGTCTAGTTTTTATATGAGGATATTTCCTTTTCTACCATGGGCATCAAAGCGTTCCAATTATCCAATTGTGGATTGCACAAACAGAGTGTTTCAAAACTGCTTCATGAAAAGGAAGATTCAAATTTGCGAGGAGAATGCACACATCACGAAGAAGTTTCTGAGAATGCTTTCTGTCTAGTTTATATGTGAAGATATTCCCATTTCCAGCAAAGGTCTCAAAGAGGTCCAAATATCCACTTGCGGATCCCACAAACAGAGTGTTTCAAAACTGCTCTACGGAAAGGTATGTTCAACTCTGTGAGTTTACTGTAAACATCCTAAAGAAGTTTCTGAGAGTGCTGCTGTCTGGTTTATTGTGAATATATTTTCTTTTCCGCCATAGCCCTCAAAGAGCTCCAAATATCCACTTTCAGATTCTACAGAGTGTTTCAAAACTGCTCTATCCAAAAAAAGTTTCAACTCGGTGAGTCGAATGCACATATCACAAAGCAGTTTCTGAGAATGCTTTCGTCTATTTTTCCCAGGAAGATATTTCCTTTTGGACCGTAGGCCTCAAATCGCTCCAGATATCCACATGCAGATTCTACAAAAAGAGTGTTTCCAAACTGCCCTATCAAAAGGAAGGTTCACCTCTGGTAGTTGAATGCAAACATCACAAAGAAGTTTCTCAGAATTCTTCTGTCTGGTTTTTAGAGGCAGATATTTCTTTTTCTACCATAGGCCTCAAAGCGCTCCAAATATCCACTTGCAGATTCTTCAAAAGGAGTGTTTCAAAACTGCTCCATAAAAAGGAAGGTTCAACTCTGTGGGTTGAATGGACAGATCACAAAGAAGTTTCTGAGAATGCTTCTCTCTAGTGTTTATGTGAAGATATTCCCGTTTCCGATGAAGGCCTCAAAGCAGTCCAAATATCCACTTGCCGATTCTACAAAAACAGTGTTTCAAAACTACTCTATGGAAAGGTATGTTCAACACTGTGAGATGAATGCAAACGTCACCAAGAAGTTGCTGAGAATGCTTCAGTCTAGTTTCTATGGGAAGACATTTCCTTTTGCACCACAGCCCTCAAAGCTCCCCAAATGTCTACCTGCAGATTCGATAAAAGAGTTTTTCAAAACTGCTCCATCCAAAGAAAGGTTCAACGCTTGTGAGTTGAATCTACATATCACAAAAAAGTTTCTGAGAATGCCTCTATCTACTTTTCCTGTGAAGATATTCCGGTTTCCAACGAAGGCCTCAAAGCGCTCCAAATATCTACTTGCAGATTCTAGAAAAAGAGTGTTTCAAAACTGCTCTATTAAAGGAAGGTTCAACTCTGTGAGTTGAATTCACACATCACAAAGAACTTTCTGTCAATGCTTCTATCTAGTTTTTATGTGAAGATATTTCTGTTTCCTATGAAGGCCTCAAAGTGGTCCGAATATCCACTTGCAGATTCTACAGAAAGAGGTTTTCAAAACTGCTCTGTGAAGAGGTATGTTCAACTCTGTGTGTTGAATGCAAACATCACGAAGTAGTTTCTGAGAATGCTTCTGTCTAGTTTTCAGGGGCAGATATTTCCATTGGCAAAATAGCCCTCCAAGCGCTCCAAATATCCACTGGCAGATTCTACCAAAACTGTGTTTCAAAACTGCTCTGTGAAAAGAAATGTTCAATTGTGTTAGTTGAATGCCCACATCACAAAGGAGATTCTGAGAATATTTCTGTCTAGTTTTAATTAGAAGATGTTCCCGTTTCCACCAAAGGACACAAAGCGAAGCCCATTATCCGCTTGCAGACCTTACAAAAACACGTTTCAAAACTGCTCTATCAAAGGAAAGGTTCATCTCTCTGGGTTCAACGCACACATCACAAAGAAGTTTCTGAGAATGCTTCTGGCTAGTTTGTGTGTGAAGATATTCCCATTTCCAACAAAGGCTTCAAAGCCCTCCAAATATTCACCTGCAATTGTTCAAAAGAGTGTTTCAAAACTGTTCTATCAAAAGGAAGGTTCAACTCTGTGAGTTGAATGGACGCTTCACATAAATGGTTCTGAGAATGCTTCTTTCTAGTTTTTATGGGAAGATGTTTCCTTCTCCACCATAGCCCTCAAAGCGCTCCAAGTGTCCGCTGGCAGATTCCACAGAAACAGTGTTTCAAAACTGCTCTAACAAAAGAAAGATTCAACTCCGTGATTTGAATGCACACATCACAAAGCATTTTCTGTGAATCCTTCTGTCTAGTTTTTATATGAGGATATTTCCTTTTCAACCACGGGCATCCAAGTGTTCCAATTCTCCAATTGTAGATTGCACAAATAGAGTGTTTCAAAACTGCTTAATGAGAAGGAAGATTCAAATTTGGGAGTAGAATGCACACATCACGAAGAAGTTTCTGAGAATGCTTCTGTCTAGTTCTATATGTGAAGATATTCCCATTTCCAGCAAAGGTCTCAAAGCGGTCCAAATATCCACTTGCGGATCCCACAAACAGAGTGTTTCAAAACTGCTCTACGGAAAGGTAGGTTCAACTCTGTGAGTTTACTGCAAACATCCTAAAGAAGTTTCTGAGAATGCTGCTGTCTAGTTTAATGTGAATATCTTTTCTTTTCCGCCATAGCCCTCAAAGAGCTCCAAATATCCACTTTCAGATTCTACAGAGTGTTTCAAAACTGCTCTATCCAAAGAAAGTTTCAACTCGGAGAGTCGAATGCACATATCACAAAGCAGTTTCTGAGAATGCTTTCGTCTATTTTTCCCAGGAAGATATTTCCTTTTTGACCGTAGGCCTCAAACCGCTCCAGATATCCACATGCAGATTCTACAAAAAGAGTGTTTCCAAACTGCCCTATCAAAAGGAAGGTTCAACTCTGCTAGTTGAATGCAAACATCACAAAGAAGTTTCTCGGAATGCTTCTGTCTAGCTGTCATAGGCAGATATTTCTTTTTCTACCATAGGCCTCAAAGCGCTCCAAATATCCACTTGCAGTTCGTCCGAAAACAGTGTTTCAAAACTGCTCCATAAAAAGTAAGGTTTAACTCTGTGAGTTGAATGGACAGACCACAAAGAAGTTTCTGAGAATGCTTCTCTCTAGTGTTTATGTGAAGATATTCCCGTTTCCGATGAAGGCCTCAAAGCAGTCCAAATATCCACTTGCCGATTCTACAAAAACAGTGTTTCAAAACTACTCTATGGAAAGGTATGTTCAACACTGTGAGATGAATGCAAACGTCAAAAGAAGTTGCTGAGAATGCTTCAGTCTAGTTTCTATGGGAAGACATTTCCTTTTGCACCACAGCCCTCAAAGCACCCCGAAAGTCTACCTGCAGATTCGATAAAAGAGTTTTTCAAAACTGCTCCATCCAAAGAAAGGTTCAACGCTGTGAGTTGAATCTACATATCACAAAAAAGTTTCTGAGAATGCCTCTATCTACTTTTTATGTGAAGATATTCCGGTTTCCAACGAAGGACTCAAAGCGCTCCAAATATCTACTGGCAGATTCTAGAAAAAGAGTGTTTCAAAACTGCTCTATTAAAGGAAGGTTCAACTCTGTGAGTTGAATTCACACATCACAAAGAACTTTCTGACAATGCTTCTATCTAGTTTTTATGCGAAGATATTACTGTTTCCTATGAAGGCCTCAAAGTGCTCCGAATATCCACTTGCAGATTCTACAAAAAGAGGTTTTCAAAACTGCTCTGTGAAGAGGTATGTTCAACTCTGTGAGTTGAATGCAAACATCACGAAGTAGTTTCTGAGAATGCTTCTGTCTAGATTTTAGGGGCAGATATTTCCATTGGCACAACAGCCCTCAAAGCGCTCCAAATATCCACTGGCAGATTCTACCAAAAGAGTGTTTCAAAACTGCTCTGTGAAAAGAAATGTTCAACTGTGTTAGTTGAATGCCCACATCACAAAGGAGATTGTGAGAATATTTTCTGTCTAGTTTTTATTAGAAGATATTCCCGTTTCCACCAAAGGACACAAAGCGAAGCCAACTATCCGCTTGCAGATCTTACAAAAACACGTTTCAAAACTGCTCTATCAAAGGAAAGGTTCATCTCTCTGGGTTCAACGCACACATCACAAAGAAGTTTCTGAGAATGCTTCTGGCTAGTTCGTGTGTGAAGATATTCCCATTTCCAACAAAGGCTTCAAAGCCCTCCAAATATTCACCTGCAATTGTTCAAAAGAGTGTTTCAAAACTGTTCTATCAAAAGGAAGGTTCAACTGCTGTGAGTTGAATGCACGCTTCACATAAATGGTTCTGAGAATGCTTCTTTCTAGTTTCTATGTGAAGATATTTCCTTCTCCACCGTAGCCCTCAAAGCGCTCCAAGTGTCCGCTGGCAGATTCCACAGAAACAGTGTTTCAAAACTGATCTAACAAAAGAAAGATTCAACTCCGTGATTTGAATGCACACATCACAAAGCATTTTCTGTGAATCCTTCTGTCTAGTTTTTATATGAGGATATTTCCTTTTCTACCATGGGCATCAAAGCGTTCCAATTATCCAATTGTGGATTGCACAAACAGAGTGTTTCAAAACTGCTTCATGAAAAGGAAGATTCAAATTCGGGAGGAGAATGCACACATCACGAAAGAAGTTTCTGAGAATGCTTCTGTCTAGTTTATATGTGAAGATATTCCCATTTCCAGCAAAGGTCTCAAAGCGGTCCAAATATCCCCTTGCGGATCCCACAAACAGAGTGTTTCAAAACTGCTCTATGGAAAGGTATGTTCAACTCTGTGAGTTTACTGCAAACATCCTAAAGAAGTTTCTGAGAATGCTGCTGTCTACTTTTTTAACGTGAATATATTTTCTTTTCCGCCATAGCCCTCAAAGAGCTCCAAATATCCACTTTCAGATTCTACAGAGTGTTTCAAAACTGCTCTATCAAAAAAAAGTTTCAACTCGGTGAGTCGAATGCACATATCACAAAGCACTTTCTGAGAATGCTTTCGTCCATTTTTCCCAGGAAGATATTTCCTTTTGGACCGTAGGCCTCAAATCGCTCCAGATATCCACATGCAGATTCTACAAAAGGAGTGTTTCCGAACTGCCCTATCAAAAGGAAGGTTCAACTCTGGTAGTTGAATGTAAACATCACAAAGAAGTTTCTCAGAATGCTTCTGTCTGGTTTTTAGAGGCAGATATTTCTTTTTCTACCATAGGCCTCAAAGCGCTCCAAATATCCACTTGCAGATTCTCCAAAATGAGTGTTTCAAAACTGCTCCATAAAAAGGAAGGTTCAACTCTGTGAGTTGAATGGACAGATGACAAAGAAGTTTCTGAGAATGCTTCTCTCTGGTGTTTATGTGAAGATATTCCCGTTTCCGATGAAGGCCTGAAAGCAGTCCAAATATCCACTTGCCGATTCTACAAAAAGAGTGTTTCAAAACCACTCTATGGAAAGGTATGTTCAACACTGTGAGATGAATGCAAACGTCACCAAGAAGTTGCTGAGAATGCTTCAGTCTAGTTTCTATGGGAAGACATTTCCTTTTGCACCACAGCCCTCAAAGCACCCCAAATGTCTACCTGCACATTCGATAAAAGAGTTTTTCAAAACTGCTCCATCCAAAGAAAGGTTCAACACTGTGAGTTGAATCTACATATCACAAAAAAGTTTCTGAGAATGCCTCTATCTACTTTTTATGTGAAGATATTCCGGTTTCCAACGAAGGCCTCAAAGCCCTCCAAATATCTACTTGCAGATTCTAGAAAAAGAGTGTTTCAAAACTGCTCTAATAAAGGAAGGTTCAACTCTGTGAGTTGAATTCACACATCACAAAGAACTTTCTGACAATGCTTCTATCTAGTTTTTATGTGAAGATATTACTGTTTCCTATGAAATCCTCAAAGTGGTCCGAATATCCACTTGCAGATTCTACAAAAAGAGGTTTTCAAAACTGCTCTATGCAGAGGTATGTTCAACCCTGTGAGTTGAATGCAAACATCACGAAGCAGTTTCTGAGAATGCTTCTGTCTAGTTTTCAGGGGCAGATATTTCCATTGGCACAGTAGCCCTCCAAGCGCTCCAAATATCCACTGGCAGATTCTACCAAAACTGTGTTTCAAAACTGCTCTGTGAAAAGAAATGTTCAATTGTGTTAGTTGAATGCCCACATCACAAAGGAGATTCTGAGAATATTTCTGTCTAGTTTTTATTAGAAGATATTCCCGTTTCCACCAAAGGACACAAAGCGAAGCCAATTATCCGCTTGCCGATCTTACAAAAACACGTTTCAAAACTGCTCTATCAAAGGAAAGGTTCATCTCTCTGGGTTCAACGCACACATCACAAAGAAGTTTCTGAGAATGCTTCCGGCTAGTTTGTGTGTGAAGATATTCCCATTTCCAACAAAGGCTTCAAAGCGCTCCAAAGATTCACCTGCAATTGTTCAAAAGAGTGTTTCAAAACTGTTGTATCAAAAGGAAGGTTCAACTCTGTGAGTTGAATGCACGCTTCACATAAATGTTTCTGAGAATGCTTCTTTCTAGTTTTTATGTGAAGATATTTCCTTCTCCACCATAGCCCTCAAAGCGCTCCAAGTGTCCGCTGGCAGATTCCACAGAAACAGTGTTTCAAAACTGCTCTAACAAAAGAAAGATTCAACTCCGTGATTTGAATGCACACATCACAAAGCGTTTTCTGTGAATCCTTCTGTCTAGTTTTTATATGAGGATATTTCCTTTTCTACCACAGGCATCCAAGCGTTCCAATTCTCCAATTGTAGATTGCACAAACAGAGTGTTTCAAAACTGCTCCATGAGAAGGAAGATGCAAATTTGGGAGTACAATGCACACATCACGAAGAAGTTTCTGAGAATGCTCTGTCTAGTTTATATGTGCAGATATTCCCATTTCCAGCAAAGGTCTCAAAGCGGTCCAAATATCCACTTGCGGATCCCACAAACAGAGTGTTTCAAAACTGCTCTACGGAAAGGTATGTTCAACTCTGTGAGTTTACTGCAAACATCCTAAAGAAGTTTCTGAGAATGCTGGCTGTCTAGTTTAATGTGAATATATTTTCTTTTCCGCCATAGCCCTCAAAGAGCTCCAAATATCCACTTTCAGATTCTACAGAGTGTTTCAAAACTGCTCTATCAAAAAAATGTTTCAACTCGGTGAGTCGAATGCACATATCACAAAGCAGTTTACTGAGAATGCTTTCGTCTATCTTTCCCAGGAAGATATTTCCTTTTGGACAGTAGGCCTCAAATCGCTCCAGATATCCACATGCAGATTCTACAAAAAGAGTGTTTCCAAACTGCCCTATCAAAAGGAAGGTTCAACTCTGGTAGGTGAATGTAAACATCACAAAGAAGTTTCTCAGAATGCTTCTGTCTAGTTTTTAGGGGCAGATATTTCTTTTTCTACCATAGGCCTCAAAGCGCTCCAAATATCCACTTGCAGATTCTCCAAAAACAGTGTTTCAAAACTGCTCCATAAAAAGGAGGGTTCAACTCTGTGAGTTGAATGGACAGATCACAAAGAAGTTTCTGAGAATGCTTCTGTCTAGTGTTTATGTGAAGATATTCCCGTTTCCGATGAAGGCCTCAAAGCAGTCCAAATGTCCACTTGCAGATTCTACAAAAATAGTGTTTCAAAACTACTCTAGGGAAAGGCATGTTCAACACTGTGAGATGAATGCAAACGTCACAAAGAAGTTGCTGAGAAGGCTTCAGTCAAGTTTCTATGGGAAGACATTTCCTTTTGCACCACAGCCCTCAAAGCACCCCGAATGTCTACCTGCAGATTCGATAAAAGGGTTTTTCAAAACTGCTCCATCCAAAGAAAGGTTCAACTCTGTGAGTTGAATCTACATATCACAAAAAGGTTTCTGAGAATGCCTCTATCTACTTTTCCTGTGAAGATATTCCGGTTTCCAACGAAGGCCTCAAAGCGCTCCAAATATCTACTTGCAGATTCTAGAAAAAGAGTGTTTCAAAACTGCTCTATTAAAGGAAGGTTCAACTCTGTGAGTTGAATTCACACATCACAAAGAACTTTCTGACAATGTTTCCATCTAGTTTTTATGTGAGGATATTACTGTTTTCTATGAAGGCCTCAAAGTGGTCCAAATATCCACTTGCAGATTCTACAAAAAGGGGTTTTCAAAACTGCTCTATGAAGAGGTATGTTCAACTCTGTGAGTTGAATGCAAACATCACAAAGCAGTTTCTGAGAATGCTTCTGTCTAGTTTTTAGGGGCAGATATTTCCATTGGCACAATAGCCCTCAAAGCGCTCCAAATATCCACTGGCAGATTCGACCAAAGGAGTGTTTCAAAACTGCTTTGTGAAAAGAAATGTTCAACTGTGTTAGGTGAATGCCCACATCACAAAGAAGTTTCTGAGAATATCTCTGTCTAGTTTTTATTAGAAGACATGCCCGTTTCCACCAAAGGACACAAAGCGAAGCCAATTATCCGCTTGCCGATCTTACAAAAACACGTTTCAAAACTGCTCTATCAAAGGAAAGGTTCATCTCTCTGGGTTCAACGCACACATCACAAAGAAGTTTCTGAGAATGCTTCTGGCTAGTTTGTGTGTGAAGATATTCCCATTTCCAACAAAGGCTTCAAAGCGCTCCAAAGATTCACCTGCAATTGTTCCAAAGAGTGTTTCAAAACTGTTGTATCAAAAGGAAGGTTCAACTCTATGAGTTGAATGCACGCTTCACATAAATGTTTCTGAGAATGCTTCTTTCTAGTTCTTATGGGAAGATATTTCCTTCTCCACCATAGCCCTCAAAGCGCTGCAAGTGTCCGCTGGCAGATTCCACAGAAACAGTGTTTCAAAACTGCTCTGACAAAAGAAAGATTCAACTCCGTGATTTGAATGCACACATCACAAAGCATTTTCTGTGAATCCTTCTGTCTAGTTTTTATATGAGGATATTTCCTTTTCTACCATGGGCATCAAAGCGTTCCAATTATCCAATTGTGGATTGCACAAACAGAGTGTTTCAAAACTGCTTCATGAAAAGGAAGATTCAAATTCGGGAGTAGACTGCACACATCTCGAAGAAGTTTCTGAGAATGCTTCTGTCCAGTTTATATGTGAAGATATTCCCGTTTCCAGCAAAGGTCTCAAAGCGGTCCAAATATCCACTTGCGGATTCCACAAACAGAGTGTTTCAAAACTGCTCTATGGAAAGGTGTGTTCAACTCTGTGAGTTTACTGCAAACATCCTAAGGAAGTTTCTGGGAATGCTGCTGTCTACTTTAATGTGAATATATTTTCTTTTCCGCCATAGCCCTCAAAGAGCTCCAAATATCCACTTTCAGATTCTACAGAGTGTTTCAAAACTGCTCTATCAAAAAAAAGTTTCAACTCGGTGAGTCGAATGCACATATCACAAAGCAATTTCTGAGAATGCTTTCGTCTATTTTTCCCAGGAAGATATTTCCTTTTTGACCGTAGGCCTCAAACCGCTCCAGATATCCACATGCAGATTCTAAAAAAAGAGTGTCTCCAAACTGCCCTATCAAAAGGAAGTTTCAACTCTGCTAGTTGAATGCAAACATCACAGAGAAGTTTCTCGGAATGCTTCAGTCTAGTATTTAGAGGCAGATATTTCTTTTTCTACCATTGGCCTCAAGGCGCTCCAAATATCCACTTGCAGATTCTCCACAAACAGTGTTTCAAAACTGCTCCATAAAAAGGAAGGTTCAACTCTGTGAGTTGAACGGACAGATCACAAAGAAGTTTCTGAGAATGCTTCTCTCTAGTGTTTATGTGAAGATATTCCCGTTTCCGATGAAGGCCTCAAAGCAGTCCAAATATCCACTTGCCGATTCTACAGAAACAGTGTTTCAAGACCACTCTATGGAAAGGTATGTTCAACACTGTGAGATGAATGCAAACGTCACCAAGAAGTTGCTGAGAATGCTTCAGTCTAGTTTCTATGGGAAGACATTTCCTTTTGCACCACAGCCCTCAAAGCACCCCAAATGTCTACCTGCAGATTCGATAAAAGAGTTTTTCAAAACTGCTCCATCCAAAGAAAGGTTCAACGCTGTGAGTTGAATCTACATATCACAAAAAAGTTTCTGAGAATGCCTCTATCTACATTTCCTGTGAAGATATTCCGGTTTACAACGAAGGCCTCCAAGCGCCCCAAATATCTACTTGCAGATTCTAGAAAAAGAGTGTTTCAACACTGCTCTATTAAAGGAAGTTTCAACTCTGTGAGTTTAATTCACACATCACAAAGAACTTCCTGACAATGCTTCTATCTAGTTTTTATGTGATGATATTACTGTTTCCTATGAAGGCCTCAAAGTGGTCCGAATATCCACTTGCAGATTCTACAAAAAGAGGTTTTCAAAACTGCTCTATGCAGAGGTATGTTCAACTCTGTGAGTTGAATGCAAACATCCCAAAGCAGTTTCTGAGAATGCTTCTGTCTAGTTTTTAGGGGCAGATTTTCCATTGGCACAATAGCCCTCAAAGCGCTCCAAATATCCACTGGCAGATTCTACCAAAAGAGTGTTTCAAAACTGCTCTGTGAAAAGAAACGTTCAACTGTGTTAGCTGAATGCCCACATCACAAAGAAGATTCTGAGAATATTTTCTGTCTAGTTTTTATTAGAAGATATTCCCGTTTCCACCAAAGGACACAAAGCGAAGCCAACTATCCGCTTGCAGATCTTACAAAAACACGTTTCAAAACTGCTCTATCAAAGGAAAGGTTCATCTCTCTGGGTTCAACGCACACATCACAAAGAAGTTTCTGAGAATGCTTCTGGCTAGTTTGTGTGTGAAGATATTCCCATTTCCAACAAAGGCTTCAAAGCGCTCCAAAGATTCACCTGCAATTGTTCAAAAGAGTGTTTCAAAACTGTTGTATCAAAAGGAAGGTTCAACTCTGTGAGTTGAATGCACGCTTCACAAAAATGTTTCTGAGAATGCTTCTTTCTAGTTCTTATGGGAAGATATTTCCTTCTCCACCATAGCCCTCAAAGCGCTGCAAGTGTCCGCTGGCAGATTCCACAGAAACAGTGTTTCAAAACTGCTCTGACAAAAGAAAGATTCAACTCCGTGATTTGAATGCACACATCACAAAGCATTTTCTGTGAATTCTTCTGTCTAGTTTTTATATGAGGATATTTCCTTTTCTACCATGGGCATCAAAGCGTTCCAATTATCCAATTGTGGATTGCACAAACAGAGTGTTTCAAAACTGCTTCATGAAAAGGAAGATTCAAATTTGGGAGTAGAATGCACACATCACGAAGAAGTTTCTGAGAATGCTTCTGTCTAGTTTATATGTGAAGGTATTCCCGTTTCCAGCAAAGGTCTCAAAGCGGTCCAAATATCCACTTGCGGATACCACAAACAGAGTGTTTCAAAACTGCTCTACGGAAAGGTATGTTCAACTCTGTGAGTTTACTGCAAACATCCTAAAGAAGTTTCTGGGAATGCTCCTCTCTAGTTTAATGTGAATATATTTTCTTTTCCGCCATAGCCCTCAAAGAGCTCCAAATATCCACTTTCAGATTCTACAGAGTGTTTCAAAACTGCTCTATCAAAAAAAAGTTTCAACTCGGTGAGTCGAATGCACATATCACAAAGCAGTTTCTGAGAATGCTTTCGTCTATTTATCCCAGGAAGATATTTCCTTTTTGACCGTAGGCCTCAAACCGCTCCAGATATCCACATGCAGATTCTACAAAAAGAGTGTTTCCAAACTGCCCTATCAAAAGGAAGGTTCAACTCTGCTAGTTGAATGCAAACATCACAGAGAAGTTTCTTGGAATGCTTCTGTCTAGTTGTCATAGGCACATATTTCTTTTTCTACCATGGGCCTCAAAGCGCTCCAAATATCCACTTGCAGATCCTCCAAAAACAGTGTTTCAAAACTGCTCCATAAAAAGGAAGGTTCAACTCTGTGAGTTGAATGGACAGACCACAAAGAAGTTTCTGAGAATGCTTCTGTCTAGTGTTTATGTGAAGATATTCCCGTTTCCGATGAAGGCCTCAAAGCAGTCCAAATATCCACTTGCAGATTCTACAAAAATAGTGCTTCAAAACTACTCTATGGAAAGGTATGTTCAACACTGTGAGATGAATGCAAACGTCACAAAGAAGTTGCTGAGAATGCTTCAGTCTAGTTTCTATGGGAAGACATTTCCTTTTGCACCACAGCCCTCAAAGCACCCCAAATGTCTACCTGCAGATTCAATAAAAGAGTTTTTCAAAACTGCTCCATCCAAAGAAAGGTTCAACGCTGTGAGTTGAATCTACATATCACAAAAAAGTTTCTGAGAATGCCTCTATCTACTTTTTATGTGAAGATATTCCGGTTTCCAAAGAAGGCCTCAAAGCGCTCCAAAAATCTACTTGCAGATTCTACAAAAAGAGTGTTTCAAAACTGCTCTATTAAAGGAAGGTTCAACTCTGTGAGTTGAATTCACACATCACAAAGAACTTTCTGACAATGCTTCTATCTAGTTTTTATGTGAAGATACTACTGTTTCCCATGAAGGCCTCAAAGTGGTCCGAATATCCACTTGCAGATTCTACA
Organism: Homo sapiens; assembly: GCF_000001405.40. Lineage (NCBI taxonomy): Eukaryota > Metazoa > Chordata > Mammalia > Primates > Hominidae > Homo > Homo sapiens. Next base: position 50,031,271 of record NC_000005.10, on the reverse strand, counting down.
AAAAGAGGTTTTCAAAACTGCTCTATGCAGAGGTATGTTCAACTCTGTGAGTTGAATGCAAACATCCCGAAGCAGTTTCTGAGAATGCTTCTGTCTAGTTTTTAGGGGAAGATATTTGCATTGGCACAATAGCCCTCAAAGCGCTCCAAATATCCACTGGCAGATTCCACCAAAAGAGTGTTTCAAAACTGCTCTGTGAAAAGAAATGTTCAACTGTGTTAGTTGAATGCCCACATCACAAAGAAGATTCTGAGAATATTTCTGTCTAGTTTTTATTAGAAGATATTCCCGTTTCCACCAAAGGACACAAAGCGAAGCCAATTATCCACTTGCCGATCTTACAAAAACACGTTTCAAAACTGCTCTATCCAAGGAAAGGTTCATCTCTCTGGGTTCAACGCACACATCACAAAGAAGTTTCTGAGAATGCTTCTGGCTAGTTTGTGTGTGAAGATATTCCCATTTCCAACAAAGGCTTCAAAGCGCTCCAAAGATTCACCTGCAATTGTTCAAAAGAGTGTTTCAAAACTGTTCCATCAAAAGGAAGGTTCAACTCTGTGAGTTGAATGCACGCTTCACATAAATGTTTCCGAGAATGCTTCTTTCTAGTTTTTATGGGAAGATATTTCCTTCTCCACCATAGCCCTCAAAGCGCTCCAAGTGTCCGCTGGCAGATTCCACAGAAACAGTGTTTCAAAACTGCTCTAAGAAAAGAAAGATTCAACTGCGTGATTCGAATGCACACATCACAAAGCATTTTCTGTGAATCTTTCTGTCTAGTTTTTATATGAGGATATTTCCTTTTCTACCATGGGCATCAAAGCGTTCCAATTATCCAATTGTGGATTGCACAAACAGAGTGTTTCAAAACTGCTTCATGAAAAGGAAGATTCAAATTCGGGAGTAGAATGCACACATCACGAAGAAGTTTCTGAGAATGCTTTCTGTCTAGTTTATATGTGAAGATATTCCCATTTCCAGCAAAGGTCTCAGAGCGGTCCAAATATCCACTTGCAGATCCCACAAACAGAGGGTTTCAAAACTGCTTTACGGAAAGGTATGTTGAACTCTGTGAGTTTACTGCAAACATCCTAAAGAAGTCTCTGAGAATGCTGCTGTCTACTTTAATGTGAATATATTTTCTTTTCCGCCATAGCCCTCAAAGAGCTCCAAATATCCACTTTCAGATTCTACAGAGTGTTTCAAAACTGCTCTATCAAAAAAAAGTTTCAACTCGGTGAGTCGAATGCACATATCACAAAGCACTTTCTGAGAATGCTTTCGTCTATTTTTCCCAGGAAGATATTTCCTTTTTGACCGTAGGCGTCAAACCGCTCCAGATATCCACATGCAGATTTTACAAAAAGAGTGTTTCCAAACTGCCCTATCAAAAGGAAGGTTCAACTCTGCTAGTTGAATGCAAACATCACAGAGAAGTTTCTCGGAATGCTTCTGTCTGGTTTTTAGAGGCAGATATTTCTTTTTCTACCATAGGCCTCAAAGCGCTCCAAATATCCACTTGCAGATTCTCCAAAAAGAGTGTTTCAAAACTGCTCCAGAAAAAGGAAGGTTCAACTCTGTGAGTTGAATGGACAGATGACAAAGAAGTTTCTGAGGATGCTTCTCTCTAGTGTTTATGTGAAGATATTCCCGTTTCCGATGAAGGCCTCAAAGCAGTCCAAATATCCACTTGCCGATTCTACAAAAACAGTGTTTCAAAACCACTCTATGGAAAGGTATGTTCAACACTGTGAGATGAATGCAAACGTCACCAAGAAGTTGCTGAGAATGCTGCAGTCTAGTTTCTATGGGAAGACATTTCCTTTTGCACCACAGCCCTCAAAGCACCCCAAATGTCTACCTGCAGATTCGATAAAAGGGATTTTCAAAACTGCTCCATGCAAAGAAAGGTTCAACGCTGTGAGTTGAATCTACATATCACAAAAAAGTTTCTGAGAATGCCTCTATCTACTTTTTATGTGAAGATATTCCTGTTTCCAACGAAGGCCTCAAAGCGCTCCAAATATCTACTGGCAGATTCTAGAAAAAGAGTGTTTCAAAACTGCTCTATTAAAGGAAGGTTCAACTCTGTGAGTTGAATTCACACATCACAAAGAACTTTCTGACAATGCTTTCCATCTAGTTTTTATGTGAAGATATTACTGTATCTATGAAGGCCTCAAAGTGGTCCAAATATCCACTTGCAGATTCTACAAAAAGAGGTTTTCAAAACTGATCTATGAAGAGGTATGTTCAACTCTGTGAGTTGAATGCAAACATCACAAAGCAGTTTCTGAGAATGCTTCTGTCTAGTTTTCAGGGGCAGGATATTTCCATTGGCACAGTAGCCCTCCAAGCGCTCCAAATATCCACTGGCAGATTCTACCAAAAGAGTGTTTCAAAACTGCTCTGTGAAAAGAAATGTTCAACTGTGTTAGTTGAATGCCCACATCACAAAGGAGATTCTGAGAATATTTCTGTCTAGTTTTTATTAGAAGATATTCGCGTTTCCACCAAAGGACACAAAGCGAATCCAATTATCCGCTTGCCGATCTTACAAAAACACGTTTCAAAACTGCTCTTTCAAAGGAAAGGTTCATCTCTCTGGGTTCAACGCACACATCACAAAGAAGTTTCTGAGAATGTTTCTGGCTAGTTTGTGTGTGAAGATATTCCCATTTCCAACAAAGGCTTCAAAGCCCTCCAAATATTCACCTGCAATTGTTCAAAAGAGTGTTTCAAAACTGTTCTATCAAAAGGAAGGTTCAACTCTGTGAGTTGAACGCACGCTTCACATAAATGGTTCTGAGAATGCTTCTTTCTAGTTTTTATGTGAAGATATTTCCTTCTCCACCATAGCCCTCAAAGCGCTCCAAGTGTCCGCTGGAAGATTCCACAGTAACAGTGTTTCAAAACTGCTCTGACAAAAGAAAGATTCAACTCCGTGATTTGAATGCACACATCACAAAGCATTTTCTGTGAATCCTTTCTGTCTAGTTTTTATATGAGGATATTTCCTTTTCTACCATGGGCATCAAAGCTTTCCAATTATCCAATTGTGGATTGCACAAACAGAGTGTTTCAAAACTGCTTCATGAGAAGGAAGATTCAAATTTGGGAGTAGAATGCACACATCACGAAGAAGTTTCTGAAAATGCTTCTGTCTGGTTTATATGTGAAGATATTCCCATTTCCAGCAAAGGTCTCAAAGCGGTCCAAATATCCACTTGTGGATCCCACAAACAGAGTGTTTCAAAGCTGCTCTACGGAAAGGTAAGTTAAACTCTGTGAGTTTACTGCAAACATCCTAAAGAACTTTCTGAGAATGCTGCTGTCTAGTTTAATGTGAATATATTTTCTTTTCCGCCATAGCCCTCAAAGAGCTCCAAATATCCACTTTCAGATTCTACAGAGTGTTTCAAAACTGCTCTATCAAAAAAAAGTTTCAACTCGGTGAGTCGAATGCACATATCACAAAGCAGTTTCTGAGAATGCTTTCGTCTATTTTTCCCAGGAAGATATTTCCTTTTGGACCGTAGGCCTCAAATCGCTCCAGATATCCACATGCAGATTCTACAAAAAGAGTGTTTCCAAACTGCCCTATCAAAAGAAAGGTTCAACTCTGGTATATGAATGCAAACATCACAAAGAAGTTTCTCAGAATGCTTCTGTCTAGTTTTTAGAGGCAGATATTTCTTTTTCTACCATAGGCCTCAAGGCGCTCCAAATATCCACTTGCAGATTCTCCAAAAACAGTGTTTCAAAACTGCTCCATAAAAAGGAAGGTTCAACTCTGTGAGTTGAATGGACAGATCACAAAGAAGTTTCTGAGAATGCTTCTGTCTAGTGTTTATGTGAAGATATTCCCCTTTCCGATGAAGGCCACAAAGCAGTCCAAATATCCACTTGCAGATTCTACAAAAATAGTGCTTCAAAACTACCCTATGGAAAGGTATGTTCAACACTGTGAGATGAATGCAAACGTCACAAAGAAGTTGCTGAGAATGCTTCAGTCTAGTTTCTATGGGAAGACATTTCCTTTTGCGCCACAGCCCTCAAAGCACCCCAAATGTCTACCTGCAGATTCGATAAAAGAGTTTTTCAAAACTGCTCCATCCAAAGAAAGGTTCAACGCTGTGAGTTGAATCTACATATCACAAAAAAGTTTCTGAGAATGCCTCTATCTACTTTTCCTGTGAAGATGTTCCGCTTTCCAACGAAGGCCTCAAAGCGCTCCAAATATCTACTTGCAGATTCTAGAAAAAGAGTGTTTCAAAACTGCTCTATTAAAGGAAGGTTCAACTCTGTGAGTTGAATTCACACATCACAAAGAACTTTCTGACAATGCTTCTATCTAGTTTTTATGTGAAGATATTACTGTTTCCTATGAAGGCCTCAAAGTGGTCCGAATATCCACTTGCAGATTCTACAAGAAGAGGTTTTCCAAACTGCTCTATGAAGAGGTAGGTTCAACACTGTGAGTTGAATGCAAACATCACAAAGCAGTTTCTGAGAATGCTTCTGTCTAGTTTTTAGGGGCAGATATTTCCATTGGCACAATAGCCCTCAAATCGCTCCAAATATCCACTGGCAGATTCTACCAAAAGAGTGTTTCAAAACTGCTCTGTGAAAAGAAACGTTCAACTGTGTTAGCTGAATGCCCACATCACAAAGAAGATTCTGAGAATATTTCTGTCTAGTTTTTATTAGAAGATATTCCCGTTTCCACCAAAGGACACAAAGCGAAGCCAATTATCCACTTGCCGATCTTACAAAAACACGTTTCAAAACTGCTCTATCAAAGGAAAGGTTCATCTCTCTGGGTTCAACGCACACATCACAAAGAAGTTTCTGAGAATGCTTCTGGCTAGTTTGTGTGTGAAGATATTCCCATTTCCAACAAAGGCTTCAAAGCGCTCCAAAGGATTCACCTGCAATTGTTCAAAAGAGTGTTTCAAAACTGTTCTATCAAAAGGAAGGTTCAACTCTGTGAGTTGAAGGCACGCTTCACATAAATGTTTCCGAGAATGCTTCTTTCTAGTTTTTATGTGAAGATATTTCCTTCTCCACCATAGCCCTCAAAGCACTCCAAGTGTCCGCTGGCAGATTCCACAGAAACAGTGTTTCAAAACTGCTCTAACAAAAGAAAGATTCAACTCCGTGATTTGAATGCACACATCACAAAGCATTTTCTGTGAATCCTTCTGTCTAGTTTTTATATGAGGATATTTCCTTTTCTACCATGGGCATCAAAGGGTTCCAATTATCCAATTGTAGATTGCACAAATAGAGTGTTTCAAAACTGCTTCATGAGAAGGAAGATTCAAATTTGGGAGTAGAATGCGCACATCACGAAGAAGTTTCTGAGAATGCTTCTGTCTAGTTTATATGTGAAGATATTCCCATTTCCAGCAAAGATCTCAAAGCTGTCCAAATATCCACTTGCGGATCCCACAAACAGAGTGTTTCAAAACTGCTCTACGGAAAGGTATGTTCAACTCTGTGAGTTTACTGCAGACATCCTAAAGAAGTTTCTGAGAATGCTGCTGTCTACTTTAATGTGAATATATTTTCTTTTCCGACATAGCCCTCAAAGAGCTCCAAATATCCACTTTCAGATTCTACAGAGTGTTTCAAAACTGCTCTATCAAAAAAAAGTTTCAACTCGGTGAGTCGAATGCACATATCACAAAGCAGTTTCTGAGAATGCTTTCGTCTATTTTTCCCAGGAAGATATTTCCTTTTGGACCGTAGGCCTCAAATCGCTCCAGATATCCACATGCAGATTCTACAAAAAGAGTGTTTCCAAACTGCCCTATCAAAAGGAAGGTTCAACTCTGGTAGTTGAATGCAAACATCACAAAGAAGTTTGCTCAGAATGCTTCTGTCTGGTTTTTAGAAGCAGATATTTCTTTTTCTACCATAGGCCTCAAAGCGCTCCAAATATCCACTTGCAGATTCTCCAAAAACAGTGTTTCAAAACTGCTCCATAAAAAGGAAGGTTCACCTCTGTGAGTTGAATGGACAGATCACAAAGAAGTTTCTGAGAATGCTTCTCTCTAGTGTTTATGTGAAGATATTCCCGTTTCCGATGAAGGCCTCAAAGCATTCCAAATATCCACTTGCAGATTCTACAAAAACAGTGTTTCAAAACTACTCTATGGAAAGGTATGTTCAACACTGTGAGATGAATGCAAACGTCACAAAGAAGTTGCTGAGAATGCTTCAGTCTAGTTTCTATGGGAAGACATTTCCTTTTGCACCACAGCCCTCAAAGCTCCCCAAATGTCTACCTGCAGATTCGATAAAAGAGTTTTTCAAAACTGCTCCATCCAAAGAAAGGTTCAACGCTGTGAGTTGAATCTACATATCACAAAAAAGTTTCTGAGAATGCCTCTATCTACTTTTCCTGTGAAGATATTCCGGTTTCCAACGAAGGCCTCAAAGCGCTCCAAGTATCTACTTGCAGATTCTAGAAAAAGAGTGTTTCAAAACTGCTCTATTAAAGGAAGGTTCAACTCTGTGAGTTGAATTCACACATCACAAAGAACTTTCTGACAATGCTTCTGTCTAGTTTTTATGTGAAGATATTACTGTTTCCTATGAAGGCCTCAAAGTGGTCCGAATATCCACTTGCAGATTGTACAGAAAGAGGTTTTCAAAACTGCTCTGTGAAGAGGTATGTTCAACTCTGTGTGTTGAATGCAAACATCACGAAGTAGTTTCTGAGAATGCTTCTGTCTAGTTTTCAGGGGCAGATATTTCCATTGGCACAATAGCCCTCCAAGCGCTCCAAATATCCACTGGCAGATACTACCAAAAGAGTGTTTCAAAACTGCTCTGTGAAAAGAAATGTTCAACTGTGTTAGTTGAATGCCCACATCACAAAGGAGATTCTGAGAATATTTCTGTCTAGTTTTTATTAGAAGATATTCCCGTTTCCACCAAAGGACACAAAGCGAAGCCAACTATCCGCTTGCAGATCTTACAAAACACGTTTCAAAACTGCTCTATCAAAGGAATGGTTCATCTCTCTGGGTTCAACGCACACATCACAAAGAAGTTTCTGAGAATGCTTCTGGCTAGTTTGTGTGTGAAGATATACCCATTTCCAACAAAGGCTTCAAAGCCCTCCAAATATTCACCTGCAATTGTTCAAAAGAGTGTTTCAAAACTGTTCTATCAAAAGGAAGGTTCAACTACTGTGAGTTGAATGCACGCTTCACATAAATGGTTCTGAGAATGCTTTCTTTCTAGTTTTTATGTGAAGATATTTCCTTCTCCACCGTAGCCCTCAAAGTGCTCCAAGTGTCCGCTGGCAGATTCCACAGAAACAGTGTTTCAAAACTGCTCTAACAAAAGAAAGATTCAACTCCGTGATTTGAATGCACACATCACAAAGCATTTTCTGTGAATCCTTCTGTCTAGTTTTTATATGAGGATATTTCCTTTTCTACCACGGGCATCCAAGCGTTCCAATTCTCCAATAGTAGATTGCACAAACAGAGTGTTTCAAAACTGCTCCATGAGAAGGAAGATTCAAATTTGGGAGTACAATGCACACATCACCAAGAAGTGTCTGAGAATGCTTCTGTCTAGTTTATATGTGAAGATATTCCCGTTTCCAGCAAAGGTCTCAAAGGGGTCCAAATATCCACTTGCGGATCCCACAAACAGAGTGTTTCAAAACTGCTCTACGGAAAGGTATGTTCAACTCTGTGAGTTTACTGCAAACATCCTAAAGAAGTTTCTGGGAATGCTGCTGTCTACTTTAATGTGAATATAGTTTCTTTGCCGCCATAGCCCTCAAAGAGCTCCAAATATCCACTTTCAGATTCTACAGAGTGTTTCAAAACTGCTCTATCAAAAAAAAGTTTCAACTCGGTGAGTCGAATGCATATATCACAAAGCAGTTTCTGAGAATGCTTTTGTCTATTTTTCCCAGGAAGATATTTCCTTTTTGACCGTAGGCCTCAAACCGCTCCAGATATCCACATGCAGATTCTACAAAAAGAGTGTTTCCAAACTGCCCTATCAAAAGGAAGGTTCAACTCTGCTAGTTGAATGCAAACATCACAGAGAAGTTTCTCGGAATGCTTCTGTCTGGTTTTCAGAGGCAGATATTTCTTTTTCTACCATAGGCCTCAAAGCGCTGCAAATATCCACTTGCAGATTCTCCAAAAGGAGTGTTTCCAAACTGCTCCATAAAAAGGAAGGTTCAACTCTGTGAGTTGAATGGACAGATGACAGAGAAGTTTCTGAGAATGCTTCTCTCTAGTGTTTATGTGAAGATATTCCCGTTTCCGATGAAGGCCTGAAAGCAGTCCAAATATCCACTTGCCGATTCTACAAAAACAGTGTTTCAAAACCACTCTATGGAAAGGTATGTTCAACACTGTGAGATGAATGCAAACGTCACCAAGAAGTTGCTGAGAATGCTTCAGGCTAGTTTCTATGGGAAGACATTTCCTTTTGCACCACAGCCCTCAAAGCACCCCAAATGTCTACCTGCAGATTCGATAAAAGAGTTTTTCAAAACTGCTCCATCCAAAGAAAGGTTCAACGCTGTGAGTTGAATCTACATATCACAAAGAGTTTCTGAGAATGCCTCTATCTACTTTTTATGTGAAGATATTCCGGTTTCCAAAGAAGGCCTCAAAGCGCTCCAAATATCTACTTGCAGATTCTAGAAAAAGAGTGTTTCAAAACTGCTCTATTAAAGGAAGGTTCAACTCTGTGAGTTGAATTCACACATCACAAAGAACTTTCTGACAATGCTTCTATCTAGTTTTTCTGTGAAGATATTACTGTTTCCTATGAAGGCCTCAAAGTGGTCCGAATATCCACTTGCAGATTCTACAAAAAGATGTTTTCAAAACTGCTCTATGAGGAGGTATGTTCAAATCTGTGAGTTGAATGCAAACATCACAAAGTAATTTCTGAGAATGCTTCTGTCTAGTTTTTAGGGGCAGATATTTCCATTGGCACAATAGCCCTCAAAGCGCTCCAAATATCCACTGGCAGATTCGTCCAAAAGAGTGTTTCAAAACTGCTCTGTGAAAAGAAATGTTCGACTGTGTTAGTTGAATGCCCACATCACAAAGAAGTTTCTGAGAATATCTCTGTCTAGTTTTTATTAGAAGATATTCCCGTTTCCACCAAAGGACACAAAGCGAAGCCAATTATCCGCTTGCCGAACTTACAAAAACACGTTTCAAAACTGCTCTATCGAAGGAAAGGTTCATCTCTCTGGGTTCAACGCACACATCACAAAGAAGTTTCTGAGAATGCTTCTGGCTAGTTTGTGTGTGAAGATATTCCCATTTCCAACAAAGGCTTCAAAGCGCTCCAAAGATTCACCTGCAATTGTTCAAAAGAGTGTTTCAAAACTGTTGTATCAAAAGGAAGGTTCAACTCTGTGAGTTGAATGCACGCTTCACATAAATGTTTCTGAGAATGCTTCTCTCTAGTTTTTATGGGAAGATATTTCCTTCTCCACCATAGCCCTCAAAGCGCTCCAAGTGTCCGCTGGCAGATTCCACAGAAACAGTGTTCCAAAACTGCTCTGACAAAAGAAAGATTCAACTCCGTGATTTGAATGCACACATCACAAAGCATTTTCTGTGAATCCTTCTGTCTAGTTTTTATATGAGGATATTTCCTTTTCTACCACGGGCATCCAAGCGTTCCAATTCTCCAATTGTAGATTGCACAAACAGAGTGTTTCAAAACTGCTCCATGAGAAGGAAGATTCAAATTTGGGAGTACAATGCACACATCACGAAGAAGTTTCTGAGAATGCTTCTGTCTAGTTTATATGTGAAGATATTCCCATTTCCAGCAAAGGTCTCAAAGCGGTCCAAATATCCACTTGCGGATCCCACAAACAGAGTGTTTCAAAACTGCTTTACGGAAAGGTATGTTCAACTCTGTGAGTTTACTGCAAACATCCTAAAGAAGTTTCTGAGAATGCTGCTGTCTACTTTAATGTGAATATATTTTCTTTTCCGCCATAGCCCTCAAAGAGCTCCAAATATCCACTTTCAGATTCTACAGAGTGTTTCAAAACTGCTCTATCAAAAAAAAGTTTAAACTCGGTGAGTCGAATGCACATATCACAAAGCAGTTTCTGAGAATGCTTTCGTCTATTTTTCCCAGGAAGATATTTCCTTTTTGACCGTAGGCCTCAAACCACTCCAGATATCCACATGCAGATTCTACAAAAAGAGTGTTTCCAAACTGCCCTATCAAAAGGAAGGTTCAACTCTGCTAGTTGAATGCAAACATCACAAAGAAGTTTCTCGGAATGCTTCTGTCTGGTTTTTAGAGGCAGATATTTCTTTTTCTACCATAGGCCTCAAAGCGCTCCAAATATCCACTTGCAGATTCTCCAAAAACAGTGATTCAAAACTGCTCCATAAAAAGGAAGGTTCAACTCTGTGAGTTGAATGGACAGATCACAAAGAAGTTTCTGAGAATGCTTCTCTCTAGTGTTTATGTGAAGATATTCCCGTTTCCGATGAAGGCCTGAAAGCAGTCCAAATATCCACTTGCCGATTATACAAAAACAGTGTTTCAAAACCACTCTATGGAAAGGTATGTTCAACACTGTGAGATGAATGCAAACGTCACCAAGAAGTTGCTGAGAATGCTTCAGTCTAGTTTCTATGGGAAGACATTTCCTTTTGCACCACAGCCCTCAAAGCACCCCAAATGTCTACCTGCAGATTCGATAAAAGAGTTTTTCAAAACTGCTCCATCCAAAGAAAGGTTCAACGCTGTGAGTTGAATCTACATATCACAAAAAGTTTCTGAGAATGCCTCTATCTACTTTTTATGTGAAGATATTCCGGTTTCCAACGAAGGCCTCAAAGCGCTCCAAATATCTACTTGCAGATTCTAGAAAAAGAGTGTTTCAAAACTGCTCTATTAAAGGAAGCTTCAACTCTGTGAGTTGAATTCACACATCACAACGAACTTTCTGACAATGCTTCTATCTAGTTTTTATGTGAAGATATTACTGTTTCCTATGAAGGCCTCAAAGTGGTCCGAATATCCACTTGCAGATTCTACAAAAAGAGGTTTTCAAAACTGCTCTATGAAGAGGTATGTTCAACTCTGTGAGTTGAATGCAAACATCACAAAGTAGTTTACTGAGAATGCTTCTGTCTAGTTTTTAGGGGCAGATATTTCCGTTGGCACAATAGCCCTCAAAGCGCTCCAAATATCCACTGGCAGATTCTACCAAAAGGGTGTTTCAAAACTGCTCTGTGAAAAGAAAGGTTCAACTGTGTTAGTTGAATGCCCACATCACAAAGAAGATTCTGAGAATATTTCTGTCTAGTTTTTATTAGAAGATATTCCCGTTTCCACCAAAGGACACAAAGCGAAGCCAATTATCCGCTTGCAGATCTTACAAAAACACGTTTCAAAACTGCTCTATCAAAGGAAAGGTTCATCTCTCTGGGTTCAACGCACACATCACAAAGAAGTTTCTGAGAATGCTTCTGGCTAGTTTGTGTGTGAAGATATTCCCATTTCCAACAAAGGCTTCAAAGCGCTCCAAAGATTCACCTGCAATTGTTCAAAAGAGTGTTTCAAAACTGTTGTATGAAAGGGAAGGTTCAACTCTGTGAGTTGAATGCACGCTTCACATAAATGTTTCTGAGAATGCTTCTTTCTAATTTTTAGGGAAGATATTTCCTTCTCCACCATAGCCCTCAAAGCGCTCCAAGTGTCCGCTGGCAGATTCCACAGAAACAGTGTTTCAAAACTGCTCTGACAAAAGAAAGATTCAACTCCGTGATTTGAATGCACACATCACAAAGCATTTTCTGTGAATCCTTGTGTCTAGTTTTTATATGAGGATATTTCCTTTTCTACCATGGGCATCAAAGCGTTCCAATTATCCAATTGTGGATTGCACAAACAGAGTGTTTCAAAACTGCTTCATGAAAAGGAAGATTCAAATTTGGGAGTAGAATGCACACATCACGAAGAAGTTTCTGAGAATGCTTCTGTCTAGTGTAAATGTGCAGGTATTCCCATTTCCAGCAAAGGTCTCAAAGCGGTCCAAATATCCACTTGCGGATCCCACAAACAGAGTGTTTCAAAACTGCTCTACGGAAAGGTATGTTCAACTCTTTGAGTTTACTGCAAACATCCTAAAGAAGTTTCTGAGAATGCTGCTGTCTAGTTTAATGTGAATATATTTTCTTTTCCGCCATAGCCCTCAAAGAGCTCCAAATATCCACTTTCAGATTCTACAGAGTGTTTCAAAACTGCTCTATCCAAAAAAAGTTTCAACTCGGTGAGTCGAATGCACATATCACAAAGCAGTTTCTGAGAATGCTTTCGTCTATTTTTCCCAGGAAGATATTTCCTTTTGGACAGTAGGCCTCAAATCGCTCCAGATATCCACATGCAGATTCTGCGAAAAGAGTGTTTCCAAACTGCCCTATCAAAAGGAAGGTTCAACTCTGGTAGTTGAATGCAAACATCACAAAGAAGTTTCTCAGAATGCTTCTGTCTAGTTGTCATAGGCAGATATTTCTTTTTCTACCATAGGCCTCTAAGCGCTCCAAATATCCACTTGCGGATTCTCCAAAAACAGTGTTTCAAAACTGCTCCATAAAAAGGAAGGTTCAACTCTGTGAATTGAATGGACAGACCACAAAGAAGTTTCTGAGAATGCTTCTGTCTAGTGTTTATGTGAAGATATTCCCGTTTCCGATGAAGGCCTCAGAGCAGTCCAAATATCCACTTGCAGATTCTACAAAAATAGTGTTTCAAAACTACTCTATGGAAAGGTATGTTCAACACTGTGAGATGAATGCAAACGTCACAAAGAAGTTGCTGAGAATGCTTCAGTCTAGTTTCTATGGGAAGACATTACCTTTTGCACCACAGCCCTCAAAGCACCCCAAATGTCTACCTGCAGATTCGATAAAAGGGTTTTTCAAAACTGCTCCATCCAAAGAAAGGTTCAACGCTGTGAGTTGAATCTACATATCACAAAAAAGTTTCTGAGAATGCCTCTATCTACTTTTTATGTGAAGATATTCCGGTTTCCAAAGAAGGCCTCAAAGCGCTCCAAATATCGACTTGCAGATTCTAGAAAAAGAGTGTTTCAAAACTGCTCTATTAAAGGAAGGTTCAACTCTGTGAGTTGAATTCACACATCACAAAGAACTTTCTGACAATGCTTCTATCTAGTTTTTATGTGAAGATATTACTGTTTCCTATGAAGGCCTCAAAGTGGTCCGAATATCCACTTGCAGATTCTACAAAAAGAGGTTTTCAAAACTGCTCTATGCAGAGGTATGTTCAAGTCTGTGAGTTGAATGCAAACATCACGAAGCAGTTTCTGAGAATGCTTCTGTCTAGTTTTTAGGGGCAGATATTTCCATTGGCACAATAGCCCTCAAAGCGCTCCAAATATCCACTGGCAGATTCTACCAAAAGAGTGTTTCAAAACTGCTCTGTGAAAAGAAATGTTCAACTGTGTTAGTTGAATGCCCACATCACAAAGAAGATTCTGAGAATATTTCTGTCTAGTTTTTATTAGAAGATATTCCCGTTTCCACCAAAGGACACAAAGCGAAGCCACTTATCCGCTTGCCGATCTTACAAAAACACGTTTCAAAACTGCTCTATGAAAGGAAAGGTTCATCTCTCTGGGTTCAACGCACACATCACAAAGAAGTTTCTGGGAATGCTTCTGGCTAGTTTGAGTGTGAAGATATTCCCATTTCCAACAAAGGCTTCAAAGCGCTCCAAAGATTCACCTGCAATTGTTCAAAAGAGTGTTTCAAAACTGTTGTATCAAAAGGAAGGTTCAACTCTGTGAGTTGAATGCGCGCTTCACATAAATGTTTCTGAGAATGCTTCTTTCTAGTTTTTATGTGAAGATATTTCCTTCTCCACCATAGCCTTCAAAGCGCTCCAAGTGTCCGCTGGCAGATTCCACAGAAACAGTGTTTCAAAACTGCTCTAACAAAAGAAAGATTCAACTCCGTGATTTGAATGCACACATCACAAAGCATTTTCTGTGAATCCTTCTGTCTAGTTTTTATATGAGGATATTTCCTTTTCTACCATGGGCATCAAAGATTTCCAATTATCCAATTGTAGATTGCACAAATAGAGTGTTTCAAAACTGCTTCATGAAAAGGAAGATTCAAATTTGGGTGTAGAATGCACACATCACAAAGAAGTTTCTGAGAATGCTTCTGTCTAGTTTATATGTGAAGATATTCCCGTTTCCAGCAAGGGTCTCAAAGGGGTCCAAATATTCACTTGCGGATCCCACAAACAGAGTGTTTCAAAACTGCTCTACGGAAAGGTATGTTCAACTCTGTGAGTTTACTGCAAACATCCTAAAGAAGTTTCTGGGAATGCTGCTGTCTAGTTTAATGTGAATATATTTTCTTTTCCGCCATAGCCCTCAAAGAGCTCCAAATATCCACTTTCAGATTCTACAGAGTGTTTCAAAACTGCTCTATCCAAAAAAAGTTTCAACTCGGTGAGTCGAATGCACATATCACAAAGCAGTTTCTGAGGATGCTTTCGTCTATTTTTCCCAGGAAGATATTTCCTTTTGGACCGTAGGCCTCAAATCGCTCCAGATATCCACATGCAGATTCTACAAAAAGACTGTTTCCAAACTGCCCTATCAAAAGGAAGGTTCAACTCTGGTAGTTGAATGCAAACATCACAAAGAAGTTTCCTCAGAATGCTTCTGTCTGGTTTTTAGAGGCAGATATTTCTTTTTCTACCATAGGCCTCAAAGCGCTCCAAATATCCACCTGCAGATACTCCAAAAGGAGTGATTCAAAACTGCTCCATAAAAAGGAAGGTTCAACTCTGTGAGTTGAATGGACAGATGACAAAGAAGTTTCTGAGAATGCTTCTCTCTAGTGTTTATGTGAAGATATTCCCGTTTCCGATGAAGGCCTCAAAGCAGTCCAAATATCCACTTGCCGATTCTACAAAAACAGTGTTTCAAAACCACTCTATCTAAAGGTATGTTCAACACTGTGAGATGAATGCAAACGTCACCAAGAAGTTGCTGAGAATGCTTCAGTCTAGTTTCTATGGGAAGACATTTCCTTTTGCACCAGAGCCCTCAAAGCACTCCAAATGTCTACTTGCAGATTCGATAAAAGAGTTTTTCAAAACTGCTCTATCAAAAGAAAGGTTCAACGCTGTGAGTTGAATCTACATATGACAAAAAAGTTTGCTGAGCATGCCTCTATCTACTTTTTATGTGAAGATATTCCGGTTTCCAACGAAGGCCTCAAAGCGCTCCAAATATCTACTTGCAGATTCTAGAAAAAGAGTGTTTCAAAACTGCTCTATTAAAGGAAGGTTCAACTCTGTGAGTTGAATTCACACATCACAAAGAACTTTCTGACAATGCTTCTGTCTAGTTTTTATGTGAAGATATTACTGTTTCCTATGAAGGCCTCAAAGTGGTCCGAATATCCACTTGCAGATTCTACAGAAAGAGGTTTTCAAAACTGCTCTGTGAAGAGGTATGTTCAACTCTGTGTGTTGAATGCAAACATCACGAAGTAGTTTCTGAGAATGCTTCTGTCTAGTTTTTAGGGGCAGATATTTCCATTGGCACAATAGCCCTCCAAGCGCTCCAAATATCCACTGGCAGATTCTACCAAAAGAGTGTTTCAAAACTGCTCTGTGAAAAGAAATGTTCAACTGTGTTAGTTGAATGCCCACATCACAAAGGAGATTCTGAGAATATTTCTGTCTAGTTTTTATTAGAAGATATTCCCGTTTCCACCAAAGGACACAAAGCGAAGCCAATTATCTGCTTGCAGATCTTACAAAAACACGTTTCAAAACTGCTCTATCAAAGGAAAGGTTCATCTCTCTGGGTTCAACGCACACATCACAAAGAAGTTTCTGAGAATGCTTCTGGCTAGTTTGTGTGTGAATATATTCCTATTTCCAACAAAGGCTTCAAAGCGTTCCAAAGATTCACCTGCAATTGTTCAAAAGAGTGTTTCAAAACTGTTCTGTGAAAAGAAATGTTCAACTGTGTTAGTTGAATGCCCACATCACAAAGAAGATTTCTGAGAATATTTCTTTCTAGTTTTTATGTGAAGATATTTCCTTCTCCACCATAGCCCTCAAAGCGCTCCAAGTGTCCCCTGGCAGATTCCACAGAAACAGTGTTTCAAAACTGCTCTAACAAAAGAAAGATTCAACTCCGTGATTTGAATGCACACATCACAAAGCATTTTCTGTGAATCCTTCTGTCTAGTTTTTGTATGAGGATATTTCCTTTTCTACCACGGGCATCCAAGCGTTCCAATTCTCCAATTGTAGATTGCACAAACAGAGTGTTTCAAAACTGCTCCATGAGAAGGAAGATTCAAATTTGGGAGTACAATGCACACATCACGAAGAAGTTTCTGAGAATGCTTCTGTCTAGTTTATATGTGAAGATATTCCCATTTCCAGCAAAGGTCTCAAAGCGGTCCAAATATCCACTTGCAGATCCCACAAACAGAGGGTTTCAAAACTGCTTTACGGAAAGGTATGTTCAACTCTGTGAGTTTACTGCAAACATCCTAAAGATGTTTGCTGAGAATGCTGCTGTCTACTTTAATGTGAATATAGTTTCTTTTCCGCCATAGCCCTCAAAGAGCTCCAAATATCCACTTTCAGATTCTACAGAGTGTTTCAAAACTGCTCTATCAAAAAAAAGTTTCAACTCGGTCAGTCGAATGCACATATCACAAAGCAGTTTCTGAGAATGCTTTCGTCTATTTTTCCCAGGAAGATATTTCCTTTTTGACCGTAGGCCTCAAACCGCTCCAGATATCCACATGCAGATTCTACAAAAAGAGTGTTTCCAAACTGCCCTATCAAAAGGAAGGTTCAACTCTGCTAGTTGAAGGCAAACATCACAGAGAAGTTTCTCGGAATGCTTCTGTCTAGCTGTTATAGGCAGATATTTCTTTTTCTACCATAGGCCACAAAGCGCTCCAAATATCTACTTGCAGATTCTCCAAAAACAGTGTTTCAAAACTGCTCCATAAAAAGGAAGGTTCAACTCTGTGAGTTGAATGGACAGATCACAAAGAAGTTTCTGAGAATGCTTCTGTCTAGTGTTTATGTGAAGATATTCCCGTTTCCGATGAAGGCCTCAAAGCAGTCCAAATATCCACTTGCAGATTCTACAAAAATAGTGTTTCAAAACTACTCTATGGAAAGGTATGTTCAACACTGTGAGATGAATGCAAACGTCACAAAGAAGTTGCTGAGAATGCTTCAGTCTAGTTTCTATGTGAAGACATTTCCTTTTGCACCACAGCCCTCAAAGCACTCCAAATGTCCACATGCAGATTCGATAAAAGAGTTTTTCAAAACTGCTCTATCAAAAGAAAGGTTCAACGCTGTGAGTTGAATCTACATATCACAAAAAAGTTTCTGAGAATACCTCTATCTACTTTTTATGTGAAGATATTCCGGTTTCCAAAGAAGGCCTCAAAGCGCTCCAAATATCTACTTGCAGATTCTAGAAAAAGAGTGTTTCAAAACTGCTCTATTAAAGGAAGTTTCAACTCTGTGAGTTGAATTCACACATCACAAAGAACTTTCTGACAATGCTTCTATCTAGTTTTTATGTGAAGATATTACTGTTTCCTATGAAGGCCTCAAAGTGGTCCGAATATCCACTTGCAGATTCTTCAAAAAGAGGTTTTCAAAACTGCTCTATGAAGAGGTATGTTCAACTCTGTGAGTTGAATGCAAACATCACAAAGTAGTTTCAGAGAATGCTTCTGTCTAGATTTTAGGGGCAGATATTTCCATTGGCACAACAGCCCTCAAAGCGCTCCAAATATCCACTGGCAGATTCTACCAAAAGAGTGTCTCAAAACTGCCCTGTGAAAAGAAATGTTCAACTGTGTTAGTTGAATGCCCACATCACAAAGGAGATTCTGAGAATATTTCTGTCTAGTTTTTATTAGAAGATATTCCCGTTTCCACCAAAGGACACAAAGCGAAGCCATTTATCCGCTTGCCGACCTTACAAAAACACGTTTCAAAACTGCTCTATCGAAGGAAAGGTTCATCTCTCTGGGTTCAACGCACACATCACAAAGAAGTTTCTGAGAATGCTTCTGGCTAGTTTGTGTGTGAAGATATTCCCATTTCCAACAAAGGCTTCAAAGCGCTCCAAAGATTCACCTGCAATTGTTCAAAAGAATGTTTCAAAACTGTTGTATCAAAAGGAAGGTTCAACTCTGTGAGTTGAATGCACGCTTCACATAAATGTTTCTGAGAATGCTTCTTTCTAGTTTTTATGTGAAGATATTTCCTTCTCCACCATAGCCCTCAAAGCGCTCCAAGTGTCCGCTGGCAGATTCCACAGAAACAGTGTTTCAAAACTGCTCTAACAAAAGAAAGATTCAACTCCGCGATTTGAATGCACACATCACAAAGCATTTTCTGTGAATCCTTCCGTCTGGTTTTTATATGAGGATATTTCCTTTTCTACCATGGGCATCAAAGCGTTCCAATTATCCAATTGTGGATTGCACAAACAGAGTGTTTCAAAACTGCTTCATGAAAAGGAAGATTCAAATTCGGGAGTAGAATGCACACATCACGAAGAAGTTTCTGAGAATGCTTCTGTCTAGTTAATACGTGAAGATATTGCCATTTCCAGCAAAGTTCTCAAAGCGGTCCAAATATCCACTTGCGGATCCCACAAACAGAGTGTTTCAAAACTGCTCTACGGAAAGGTATGTTCAACTCTGTGAGTTTACTGCAAACATCCTAAAGAAGTTTCTGAGAATGCTCCTCTCTAGTTTAATGTGAATATATTTTCTTTTCCGCCATAGCCCTCAAAGAGCTCCAAATATCCACTTTCAGATTCTACAGAGTGTTTCAAAACTGCTCTATCAAAAAAAAGATTCAACTCGGTGAGTCGAATGCCCATATCACAAAGCAGTTTCTGAGAATGCTTTCGTCTATTTTTCCCAGGAAGATATTTCCTTTTTGACCGTAGGCCTCAAACCGCTCCAGATATCCACATGCAGATTCTACAAAAAGAGTGTTTCCAAACTGCCCTATCAAAAGAAAGGTTCAACTCTGCTAGTTGAATGCAAACATCACAAAGAAGTTTCTCGGAATGCTTCTGTCTGGTTTTTAGAGGCAGATATTTATTTTTCTACCATAGGCCTCAAAGCGCTCCAAATATCCACTTGCAGATTCTCCAAAAAGAGTGTTTCAAAACTGCTCCAGAAAAAGGAAGGTTCAACTCTGTGAGTTGAATGGACAGATGACAAAGAAGTTTCTGAGGATGCTTCTCTCTAGTGTTTATGTGAAGATATTCCCGTTTCCGATGAAGGCCTCAAAGCAGTCCAAATATCCACTTCCCGATTCTACAAAAACAGTGTTTCAAAACTACTCTATGGAAAGGTATGTTCAACACTGTGAGATGAATGCAAACGTCACAAAGAAGTTGCTGAGAATGCTTCAGTCTAGTTTCTATGGGAAGACATTTCCTTTTGCACCACAGCCCCCAAAGCACTCCAAATGTCTACTTGCAGATTCGATAAAAGAGTTTTACAAAACTGCTCTATCAAAAGAAAGGTTCAACGCTTTGAGTTGAATCCACATATCACGAAAAAGTTTCTGAGAATGCCTCTATCTACTTTTTCTGTGAAGATATTCCGGTTTCCAACGAAGGCCTCAAAACGCTCCAAATATCTACTTGCAGATTCTAGAAGAAGAGTGTTTCAAAACTGCTCTATTAAAGGAAGGTTCAACTCTGTGAGTTGAATTCACACATCACAAAGAACTTTCTGACAATGCTTCTATCTAGTTTTTATGTGAAGATATTACTGTTTCCTATGAAAGCCTCAAAGTGGTCCGAATATCCACTTGCAGATTCTACAAGAAGAGGTTTTCCAAACTGCTCTATGAAGAGGTAGGTTCAACTCTGTGAGTTGAATGCAAACATCACAAAGCAGTTTCTGAGAATGCTTCTGTCTAGTTTTTAGGGGAAGTTATTTCCATTGGCACAATAGCCCTCAAAGCGCTCCAAATATCCACTGGCAGATTCTACCAAAAGAGTGTTTCAAAACTGCTCTGTGAAAAGAAACGTTCAACTGTGTTTGTTGAATGCCCACATCACAAAGAAGATTCTGAGAATATTTCTGTCTAGTTTTTATTAGAAGATATTCCCGTTTCCACCAAAGGACACAAAGCGAAGCCAATTATCCGCTTGCCGATCTTACAAAAACACGTTTCAAAACTGCTCTATCGAAGGAAAGGTTCATCTCTCTGGGTTCAACACACACATCACAAAGAAGTTTCTGAGAATGCTTCTGGCTAGTTTGTGTGTGAAGATATTCCCATTTCCAACAAAGGCTTCAAAGCGCTCCAAAGATTCACCTGCAATTGTTCAAAAGAGTGTTTCAAAACTGTTGTATCAAAAGGAAGGTTCAACTGCTGTGAGTTGAATGCACGCTTCACATAAATGTTTCTGAGAATGCTTCTTTCTAGTTTTTATGTGAAGATATTTCCTTCTCCACCATAGCCCTCAAAGCGCTCCAAGTGTCCGCTGGCAGATTCCACAGAAAGAGTGTTTCAAAACTGCTCTAACAAAAGAAAGATTCAACTCCGTGATTTGAATGCACACATCACAAAGCATTTTCTGTGAATCCTTCTGTCTAGTTTTCATATGAGGATATTTCCTTTTCTACCATGGGCATCAAAGCGTTCCAATTATCCAATTGTGGATCGCACAAACAGAGTGTTTCAAAACTGCTTCATGAAAAGGAAGATTCAAATTCGGGAGTAGAATGCACACATCACGAGGAAGTTTCTGAGAATGCTTCTGTCCAGTTTATATGTGAAGATATTCCCGTTTCCAGCAAAGGTCTCAAAGCGGTCCAAATATCCACTTGCGGATCCCACAAACAGAGTGTTTCAAAACTGCTCTACGGAAAGGTATGTTCAACTCTGTGAGTTTACTGCAAACATCCTAAAGAAGTTTACTGGGAATGCTGCTGTCTAGTTTAATGTGAATATCTTTTCTTTTCCGCCATAGCCCTCAAAGAGCTCCAAATATCCACTTTCAGATTCTACAGAGTGTTTCAAAACTGCTCTATCCAAAAAAAGTTTCAACTCGGTGAGTCGAATGCACATATCACAAAGCAGTTTCTGAGAATGCTTTCGTCTATTTTTCCCAGGAAGATATTTCCTTTTGGACCGTAGGCCTCAAATCGCTCCAGATATCCACATGCAGATTCTACAAAAAGAGTGTTTCCAAACTGCCCTATCAAAAGGAAGGTTCACCTCTGGTAGTTCAATGCAAACATCACAAAGAAGTTTCTCAGAATGCTTCTGTCTAGTTGTCATAGGCAGATATTTCTTTTTCTACCATAGGCCTCAAAGCGCTCCAAATATCCACTTGCAGATTCTCCGAAAACAGTGTTTCAAAACTGCTCCATAAAAAGGAAGGTTCAACTCTGTGAGTTGAATGGACAGACCACAAAGAAGTTTCTGAGAATGCTTCTCTCTAGTGTTTATGTGAAGATATTCCCTTTTCCGATGAAGGCCTCAAAGCAGTCCAAATATCCACTTGCCGATTCTACAAAAACAGTGTTTCAAAACCACTCTAGGGAAAGGTATGTTCAACACTGTGAGATGAATGCAAACGTCACCAAGAAGTTGCTGAGAATGCTTCAGTCTACTTTCTATGGGAAGACATTTCCTTTTGCACCAGAGCCCTCAAAGCACTCCAAATGTCTACTTGCAGATTCGATAAAAGAGTTTTTCAAAACTGCTCTATCAAAAGAAAGGTTCAACGCTGTGAGTTGAATCTACATATGACAAAAAAGTTTCTGAGCATGCCTCTATCTACATTTCCTGTGAAGATATTCCGGTTTCCAACGAAGGCCTCCAAGCGCTCCAAATATCTACTTGCAGATTCTAGAAAAAGAGTGTTTCAAAACTTCTCTATTAAAGGAAGGTTCAACTCTGTGAGTTGAATTCACACATCACAAAGAACTTTCTGACAATGCTTCTAGCTAGGTTTTATGTGAAGATATTACTGTTTCCTATGAAGGCTTCAAAGAGGACCGAATATCCACTTTCAGGTTCTACAAAAAAGGTTTTCAAAACTGCTCTATGAAGAGGTATGTTCAACTCTGTGAGTCGAATGCAAACATCACAATGTAGTTTCTGAGAATGCTTCTGTCTAGTTTTTAGGGGAAGATATCTCCATTGGCACAATAGCCCTCAAAGCGCTCCAAGTATCCACTGGCAGATTCTAGCAAAAGAGTGTTTCAAAACGGCTCTGTGAAAAGAAATGTTCAACTGTGTTAGTTGAATGCCCACATCACAAAGATGATTGTGAGAATATTTCTGTCTAGTTTTTATTAGAAGATATTCCCGTTTCCAACAAAGGACACAAAGCGAAGCCAATTATCCACTTGCCGATCTTACAAAAACACGTTTCAAAACTGCTCTATCAAAGGAAAAGGTTCATCTCTCTGGGTTCAACGCACACATCACAAAGAAGTTTCTGAGAATGCTTCTGGCTACTTTGTGCGTGAAGATATTCCCATTTCCAGCAAAGGCTTCAAAGCGCTCCAAATATTCACCTGCAATTGTTCAAAAGAGTTTTTCAAAACTGTTCTAACAAAAGGAAGGTTCAACTCTGTGAGTTGAATGCATGCTTCACAGAAATGTTTCTGAGAATGCTTCTTTCTAGTTTTTATGTGAAGATATTTCCTTCTCCACCGTAGCCCTCAAAGCGCTCCAAGTGTCCGCTGGCAGATTCCACAGAAACAGTGTTTCAAAACTGCTCTGACAAAAGAAAGATTCAACTCCGTGATTTGAATGCACACATCACAAAGCATTTTCTGTGAATCCTTCTGTCTAGTTTTTATATGAGGATATTTCCTTTTCTACCACGGGCATCCAAGCGTTCCAATTCTCCAATTGTAGATTGCACAAACAGAGTGTTTCAAAACTGCTCCATGAGAAGGAAGATTCAAATTTGGGAGTACAATGCACACATCACCAAGAAGTTTCTGAGAATGCTTCTGTCTAGTTTATATGTGAAGATATTCCCATTTCCAGCAAAGGTCTCAAAGCGGTCCAAATATCCACTTGCGGATTCCCCAAAAAGAGTGTTTCAAAACTGCTCTATGGAAAGGTATGTTCAACTCTGTGAGTTTAATGCAAACATCATAAAGAAGTTTCTGAGGATGCTGCTGTCTACTTTAATGTGAATATATTTTCTTTTCTGCCATAGCCCTCAAAGAGCTCCAAATATCCACTTTCAGATTCTACAGAGTGTTTCAAAACTGCTCTATCAAAAAAAAGTTTCAACTCGGTGAGTCGAATGCACATATCACAAAGCAGTTTCTGAGAATGCTTTCGTCTATTTTTCCCAGGAAGTTATTTCCTTTTTGACCATAGGCCTCAAATCGCTCCAGATATCCACATGCAGATTCTACAAAAAGAGTGTTTCCAAACTGCCCTATCAAAAGGAAGGTTCAACTCTGGTAGTTGAATGCAAACATCACAAAGAAGTTTCTCAGAATGCTTCTGTCTAGTTGTCATAGGCAGATATTTCTTTTTCTACCATAGGCCTCAAAGCGCTCCAAATATCCACTTGCAGATCCTCCAAAAACAGTGTTTCAAAACTGCTCCATAAAAAGGAAGGTTCAACTCTGTGAGTTGAATGGACAGACCACAAAGAAGTTTCTGAGAATGCTTCTCTCTCTAGTGTTTAAGTGAAGATATTCCCGTTTCCGATGAAGGCCTCAAAGCAGTCCAAATATCCACTTGCCGATTCTACAAAAACAGTGTTTCAAAACCACTCTATGTAAAGGTATGTTCAACACTGTGAGATGAATGCAAACGTCACCAAGAAGTTGCTGAGAATGCTTCAGTCTACTTTCTATGGGAAGACATTTCCTTTTGCACCACAGCCCTCAACGCACTCCAAATGTCTACTTGCAGATTCGATAAAAGAGTTTTACAAAACTGCTCTATCAAAAGAAAGGTTCAACGCTGTGAGTTGAATCCACATATCACGAAAAAGTTTCTGAGAATGCCTCTATCTACGTTTTATGTGAAGATATTCCGGTTTCCAACGAAGGCCTCAAAGCGCTCCAAATATCTACTGGCAGATTCTAGAAAAAGAGTGTTTCAAAACTGCTCTATTAAAGGAAGGTTCAACTCTGTGTGTTGAATTCACACATCACAAAGAACTTTCTGACAATGCTTCTATCTAGTTTTTATGTGATGATATTACTGTTTCCTATGAAGGCCTCAAAGTGTTCCGAATATCCACTTGCAGATTCTACAAAAAGAGGTTTTCGAAACTGCTCTATGAAGAGGTATGTTCAACTCTGTGAGTTGAATGCAGACATCCCAAAGCAGTTTCTGAGAATGCTTCTGTCTAGTTTTTAGGGGCAGATATTTCCATTGGCACAATAGCCCTCAAAGCGCTCCAAATATCCACTGGCAGATTCGTCCAAAAGAGTGTTTCAAAACTGCTTCATGAAAAGAAATGTTCGACTGTGTTAGTTGAATGCCCACATCACAAAGAAGTTTCTGAGAATATCTCTGTCTAGTTTTTATTAGAAGATATTCCCGTTTCCACCAAGGGACACAAAGCAAAGCCAATTATCCGCTTGCAGATCTTACAAAAACACGTTTCAAAACTGCTCTATCAAAGGAAAGGTTCATCTCTCTGGGTTCAACGCACACATCACAAAGAAGTTTCTGGGAATACTTCTGGCTAGTTTGTGTGTGAAGATATTCCCATTTCCAACAAAGGCTTCAAAGCGCTCCAAAGATTCACCTGCAATTGTTCAAAAGAGTGTTTCAAAACTGTTGTATCAAAAGGAAGGTTCAACTCTGTGAGTTGAATGCACGCTTCACATAAATGTTTCTGAGAATGCTTCTTTCTAGTTTTTATGGGAAGATATTTCCTTCTCCACCATAGCCCTCAAAGAGCTCCAAGAGTCCGCTGGCAGATTCCACAGAAACAGTGTTTCAAAACTGCTCTGACAAAAGAAAGATTCAACTCCGTGATTTGAATGCACACATCACAAAGCATTTTCTGTGAATCCTTCTGTCTAGTTTTTATATGAGGATATTTCCTTTTCTACCATGGGCATCAAAGCGTTCCAATTATCCAATTGTGGATTGCACAAACAGAGTGTTTCAAAACTGCTTCATAAAAAGGAAGATTCAAATTCGGGAGGAGAATGCACACATCACGAAGAAGTTTCTGAGAATGCTTCTGTCTAGTTTAAATGTGCAGATATTCCCATTTCCAGCAAAGGTCTCAAAGCGGTCCAAATATCCACTTGCGGATCCCACAAACAGAGTGTTTCAAAACTGCTCTACGGAAAGGTAGGTTCAACTCTGTGAGTTTACTGCAAACATCCTAAAGAAGTTTCTGAGAATGCTGCTGTCTACTTTAATGTGAATATATTTTCTTTTCCGTCATAGCCCTGAAAGAGCTCCAAATATCCACTTTCAGGTTCTACAGAGTGTTTCAAAACTGCTCTATCAAAAAAAAGTTTCAACTCGGTGAGTCGAATGCGCATATCACAAAGCCCTTTGCTGAGAATGCTTTCGTCTATTTTTCCCAGGAAGATATTTCCTTTTTGACCGTAGGCCTCAAACCGCTCCAGATATCCACATGCAGATTCTACAAAAAGAGTGTTTCCAAACTGCCCTATCAAAAGGAAGGTTCAACTCTGCTAGTTGAATGCAAACATCACAAAGAACTTTTCTCGGAATGCTTCTGTCTAGTTGTCATAGGCAGATATTTCTTTTACTACCATAGGCCTCAAAGCGCTCCAAATATCCACTTGCAGATCCTCCGAAAACAGTGTTTCAAAACTGCTCCATAAAAAGGAAGGTTCAACTCTGTGAGTTGAATGGACAGACCACAAAGAAGTTTCTGAGAATGCTTCTGTCTAGTGTTTATGTGAAGATATTCCCGTTTCCGATGAAGGCCTCAAAGCAGTCCGAATGTCCACTTGCAGATTCTACAAAAATAGTGTTTCGAAACTACTCTATGCAAAGGTATGTTCAACACTGTGAGATGAATGCAAACGTCACCAAGAAGTTGCTGAGAATGATTCAGTCTAGGTTCTATGGGAAGACATTTCCTTTTGCACCAGAGCCGTCAAAGCACTCCAAATGTCTACTTGCAGATTCGATAAAAGAGTTTTTCAAAACTGCTCTATCAAAAGAAAGGTTCAACGCTGTGAGTTGAATCTACATATGACAAAAAAGTTTCTGAGCATGCCTCTATCTACTTTTCCTGTGAAGATATTCCGGTTTCCAACGAAGGCCTCAAAGCGCTCCAAGTATCTACTTGCAGATTCTAGAAAAAGAGTGTTTCACAACTGCTCTATTGAAGGAAGGTTCAACTCTGTGAGTTGAATTCACACATCAAAAAGAACTTTCTGACAATGCTTCTATCTAGTTTTTATGTGATGATATTACTGTTTCCTATGAAGGCCTCAAAGTGGTCCGAATATCCACTTGCAGATTCTACAAAAAGAGGTTTTCAAAACTGCTCTATGAAGAGGTATGTTCAACTCTGTGAGTTGAATGCAAACATCCCAAAGCAGTTTCTGAGAATGCTTCTGTCTAGTTTTTAGGGGCAGATATTTCCGTTGGCACAATAGCCCTCAAAGCGCTCCAAATATCCACTGGCAGATTCTACCAAAAGAGTGTTTCAAAACTGCTCTGTGAAAAGAAACGTTCAACTGTGTTAGCTGAATGCCCACATCACAAAGAAGATTCTGAGAATATTTCTGTCTAGTTTTTATTAGAAGATATTCCCGTTTCCACCAAAGGACACAAACCGAAGCCAACTATCCGCTTGCAGATCTTACAAAAACACGTTTCAAAACTGCTCTATCAAAGGAAAGGTTCATCTCCCTGGGTTCAACGCACACATCACAAAGAAGTTTCTGAGAATGCTTCTGGCTAGTTTGTGTGTGAAGATATTCCCATTTCCAACAAAGGCTTCAAAGCCCTCCAAATATTCACCTGCAATTGTTCAAAAGAGTGTTTCAAAACTGTTCTATCAAAAGGAAGGTTCAACTCTGTGAGTTGAATGCACGCTTAACATAAATGGTTCTGAGAATGCTTCTTTCTAGTTTTTATGTGAAGATATTTCCTTCTCCACCATAGCCCTCAAAGCGCTCCTAGTGTCCGCTGGCAGATTCCACAGAAACAGTGTTTCAAAACTGCTCTAACAAAAGAAAGATTCAACTCCGTGATTTGAATGCACACATCACAAAGCATTTTCTGTGAATCCTTCTGTCTAGTTTTTATATGAGGATATTTCCTTTTCTACCATGGGCATCAAAGCGTTCCAATTATCCCATTGTAGATTGGACAAATAGAGTGTTTCAAAACTGCTTCATGAAAAGGAAGATTCAAATTTGGGAGTAGAATGCACACATCACGAAGAAGTTTCTGAGAATGCTTCTGTCTAGTTTATATGTGAAGATATTCCCATTTCCAGCAAAGGTCTCAAAGCGGTCCAAATATCTACTTGCGGATCCCACAAACAGAGTGTTTCAAAACTGCTCTACGGAAAGGTAGGTTTCAACTCTGTGAGTTTACTGCAAACATCCTAAAGAAGTTTCTGAGAATGCTGCTGTCTAGTTTAATGTGAATATATTTTCTTTTCCGCCATAGCCCTCAAAGAGCTCCAAATATCCACTTTCAGATTCTACAGAGTGTTTCAAAACTGCTCTATCCAAAAAAAGTTTCAACTCAGTGAGTCGAATGCACATATCACAAAGCAGTTTCTGAGGATGCTTTCGTCTATTTTTCCCAGGAAGATATTTCCTTTTTGACCGTAGGCCTCAAACCGCTCCAGATATCCACATGCAGATTCTACAAAAAGAGTGTTTCCAAACTGCCCTATCAAAAGGAAGGTTCAACTCTGCTAGTTGAATGCAGACATCACAAAGAACTTTTCTCAGAATGCTTCTGTCTGGTTTTTAGAGGCAGATATTTCTTTTTCTACCATAGGCCTCAAAGCGCTCCAAATATCCACCTGCAGATTCTCCAAAAGGAGTGTTTCAAAACTGCTCCATAAAAAGGAAGGTTCAACTCTGTGAGTTGAATGGACAGATGACAAAGAAGTTTCTGAGAATGCTTCTCTCTAGTGTTTATGTGAAGATATTCCCGTTCCCGATGAAGGCCTCAAAGCAGTCCAAATATCCACTGGCCGATTCTACAAAAACAGTGTTTCAAAACTACTCTATGGAAAGGTATGTTCAACACTGTGAGATGAATGCAAACGTCACAAAGAAGTTGCTGAGAATGCTTCAGTCTAGTTTCTATGGGAAGACATTTCCTTTTGCACCAGAGCCCTCAAAGCACTCCAAATGTCTACTTGCAGAATCGATAAAAGAGTTTTTCAAAACTGCTCTATCAAAAGAAAGGTTCAACGCTGTGAGTTGAATCTACATATGACAAAAAAGTTTCTGAGCATGCCTCTATATACTTTTTATGTGAAGATATTCCAGTTTCCAAAGAAGGCCTCAAAGGGCTCCAAATATCTACTTGCAGATTCTAGAAAAAGAGTGTTTCAAAACTGCTCTATTAAAGGAAGGTTCAACTCTGTGAGTTGAATTCACACATCACAAAGAACTTTCTGACAATGCTTCTATCTAGTTTTTATGTGAAGATATTACTGTTTCCTATGAAGGCCTCAAAGTGGTCCGAATATCCACTTGCAGATTCTACAAAAAGAGGTTTTCAAAACTGCTCTATGAAGAGGTATGTTCAACTCTGTGAGTTGAATGCCAACATCACAAAGCAATTTCTGAGAATGCTTCTGTCTAGTTTTTAGGGGCAGATATTTCCATTGGCACAATAGCCCTCAAAGCGCTCCAAATATCCACTGGCAGATTCTACCAAAAGAGTGTTTCAAAACTGCTCTGTGAAAAGAAACGTTCAACTGTGTTAGCTGAATGCCCACATCACAAAGAAGATTCTGAGAATATTTCTGTCTAGTTTTTATTAGAAGATATTCCCGTTTCCACCAAAGGACACAAAGCGAAGCCAATTATCCGCTTGCAGATCTTACAAAAACACGTTTCAAAACTGCTCTATCAAAGGAAAGGTTCATCTCTCTGGGTTCAACGCACACATCACAAAGAAGTTTCTGAGAATGCTTTCTGGCTAGTTTGTGTGTGAAGATATTCCCATTTCCAACAAAGGCTTCAAAGCCCTCCAAATATTCACCTGCAATTGTTCAAAAGAGTGTTTCAAAACTGTTCTATCAAAAGGAAGGTTCAACTCTGTGAGTTGAACGCACGCTTCACATAAATGGTTCTGAGAATGCTTCTTTCTAGTTTTTATGTGAAGATATTTCCTTCTCCACCATAGCCCTCAAAGCGCTCCAAGTGTCCGCTGGCAGATTCCACAGAAACAGTGTTTCAAAACTGCTCTAACAAAAGAAAGATTCAACTCCGTGATCTGAATGCACATATCACAAAGCATTTTCTGTGAGTCCTTCTGATCTAGTTTTTATATGAGGATATTTCCTTTTCTACCATGGGCATCCAAGCGTTCCAATTATCCAATTGTAGATTGCACAAACAG
The DNA here is from genome assembly GCF_000001405.40 of Homo sapiens. NCBI lineage: Eukaryota > Metazoa > Chordata > Mammalia > Primates > Hominidae > Homo > Homo sapiens. Next base: position 50,001,613 of record NC_000005.10, on the reverse strand, counting down.
AGTGTTTCAAAACTGCTCCATGAGAAGGAAGATTCAAATTTGGGAGTACAATGCACACATCACGAAGAAGTTTCTGAGAATGCTTCTGTCTAGTTTATATGTGAAGATATTCCCGTTTCCAGCAAAGGTCTCACAGCGGTCCAAATATCCACTTGCGGATCCCACAAACAGAGTGTTTCAAAACTGCTCTACGGAAAGGTATGTTCAACTCTGTGAGTTTACTGCAAACATCCTAAAGAAGTTTCTGGGAATGCTGCTGTCTTGTTTAATGTGAATATATTTTCTTTTCCGCCATAGCCCTCAAAGAGCTCCAAATATCCACTTTCAGATTCTACAGAGTGTTTCAAAACTGCTCTATCCAAAAAAAGTTTCAACTCGGTGAGTCGAATGCACATATCACAAAGCAGTTTCTGAGGATGCTTTCGTCTATTTTTCCCAGGAAGATATTTCCTTTTGGACCGTAGGCCTCAAATCGCTCCAGATATCCACATGCAGATTCTACAAAAAGAGTGTTTCCAAACTGCCCTATCAAAAGGAAGGTTCAACTCTGGTAGTTGAATGCAAACATCACAAAGAAGTTTCTCAGAATGCTTCAGTCTAGTATTTAGAGGCAGATATTTCTTTTTCTACCATTGGCCTCAAGGCGCTCCAAATATCCACCTGCAGATTCTCCACAAACAGTGTTTCAAAACTGCTCCATAAAAAGGAAGGTTCAACTCTGTGAGTTGAATGGACAGATCACAAAGAAGTTTCTGAGAATTCTTCTCTCTAGTGTTTATGTGAAGATATTCCCGTTACCGATGAAGGCCTGAAAGCTGTCCAAATATCCACTAGCCGATTCTACAAAAACAGTGTTTCAAAACCACTCTATGGAAAGGTATGTTCAACACTGTGAGATGAATGCAAACGTCACCAAGAAGTTGCTGAGAATGCTTCAGTCTAGTTTCTATGGGAAGACATTTCCTTTTGCACCACAGCCCTCAAAGCACCCCAAATGTCTACCTGCAGATTCGATAAAAGAGTTTTTCAAAACTACTCCATCCAAAGAAAGGTTCAACGCTGTGAGTTGAATCTACATATCACAAAGAGTTTCTGAGAATGCCTCTATCTACTTTTCCTGTGAAGATATTCCGGTTTCCAACGAAGGCCTCAAAGCGCTCCAAATATCCACTTGCAGATTCTACAAAAAGAGTGTTTCAAAACTGCTCTATTAAAGGAAGGTTCAACTCTGTGAGTTGAATCCACACATCACAAAGAACTTTCTGACAATGCTTCTATCTAGTTTTTATGTGAAGATATTACCGTTTCCTATGAAGGCCTCAAAGTGGTCCGAATATCCACTTGCAGATTCTACAAAAAGAGGTTTCCAAAAGTGCTCTATGAAGAGGTATGTTCAACTCTGTGAGTTGAATGCAAACATCACAGAGCAGTTTCTGAGAATGCTTCTGTCTAGTTTTTAGGGGCAGATATTTCCATTGGCACAATAGCCCTCAAAGCGCTCCAAATATCCACTGGCAGATTCGACCAAAAGAGTGTTTCAAAACTGCTCTGTGAAAAGAAATGTTCGACTGTGTTAGTTGAATGCCCACATCACAAAGAAATTTCTGAGAATATCTCTGTCTAGTTTTTATTAGAAGATATTCCCGTTTCCACCAAAGGACACAAAGCGAAGCCAACTATCCGCTTGCAGATCTTACAAAAACACGTTTCAAAACTGCTCTATCAAAGGAAAGGTTCATCTCTTCTGGGTTCAACGCACACATCACAAAGAAGTTTCTGAGAATGCTTCTGGCTAGTTTGTGTGTGAAGATATTCCCATTTCCAAAAAAGGCTTCAAAGCCCTCCAAATATTCACCTGCAATTGTTCAAAAGAGTGTTTCAAAACTGTTCTATCAAAAGGAAGGTTCAACTCTGTGAGTTGAATGCACGCTTCACATAAATGGTTCTGAGAATGCTTCTTTCTAGTTTTTATGTGAAGATATTTCCTTCTCCACCATAGCCCTCAAAGCGCTCCAAGTGTCCGCTGGCAGATTCCACAGAAACAGTGTTTCAAAACTGCTCTAACAAAAGAAAGATTCAACTCCGTGATTTGAATGCACACATCACAAAGCATTTTCTGTGAATCTTTCTGTCTAGTTTTTATATGAGGATATTTCCTTTTCTACCATGGGCATCAAAGCGTTCCAATCATCCAATTGTAGAATGCACAAATAGAGTGTTTCAAAACTGCTTCATGAAAAGGAAGATTCAAATTTGGGAGTAGAATGCACACATCACGAAGAAGTTTCTGAGAATGCTTCTGTCCAGTTTATATGTGAAGATATTCCCGTTTCCAGCAAAGGTCTCAAAGCGGTCCAAATATCCACTTGCGGATCCCACACACAGAGTGTTTCAAAGCTGCTCTACGGAAAGGTATGTTCAACTCTGTGAGTTTACAGCAAACATCCTAAAGAAGTTTCTGGGAATGCTGCTGTCTACTTTAATGTGAATATATTTTCTTTTCCGCCATAGCCCTCAAAGAGCTCCAAATATCCACTTTCAGATTCTACAGAGTGTTTCAAAACTGCTCTACCAAAAAAAAGTTTCAACTCGGTGAGTCGAATGCACATATCACAAAGCAGTTTCTGAGAATGCTTTCGTCTATTTTTCCCAGGAAGATATTTCCTTTTTGACCGCAGGCCTCAAATCGCTCCAGATATCCACATGCAGATTCTACAAAAAGAGTGTTTCCAAACTGCCCTATCAAAAGGAAGGTTCAACTCTGGTAGTTGAATGCAAACATCACAAAGAAGTTTCTCAGAATGCTTCTGTCTGGTTTTTAGAGGCAGATATTTCTTTTTCTACCATAGGCCTCAAAGCGCTCCAAATATCCACTTGCAGATTCTCCAAAAGGAGTGTTTCAAAACTGCTCCATAAAAAGGAAGGTTCAACTTTGTGAGTTGAATGGACAGATGACAAGAAGTTTCTGAGAATGCTTCTGTCTAGTGTTTATGTGAAGATATTCCCGTTTCCGATGAAGGCCTCAAAGCAGTCCAAATGTCCACTTGCAGATTCTACAAAAATAGTGTTTCGAAACTACTCTATGCAAAGGTATGTTCAACACTGTGAGATGAATGCAAACGTCACCAAGAAGTTGCTGAGAATGATTTCAGTCTAGTTTCTATGGGAAGACATTTCCTTTTGCACCACAGCCCTCAAAGCACTCCAAATGTCTACTTGCAGATTCGATAAAAGAGTTTTTCAAAACTACTCTATCAAAAGAAAGGTTCAACGCTGTGAGTTGAATCTACATATCACAAAAAAGTTTCTGAGAATGCCTCTATCTACTTTTCCTGTGAAGATATTCCGGTTTCCAACGAAGGCCTCAAAGCGCTCCAAGTATCTACTTGCAGATTCTAGAAAAAGAGTGTTTCACAACTGCTCTATTGAAGGAAGGTTCAACTCTGTGAGTTGAATTCACACATCACAAAGAACTTTCTGACAATGCTTCTATCTAGTTTTTATGTGAAGATATTACTGTTTCCCATGAAGGCCTCAAAGTGGTCCGAATATCCACTTGCAGATTCTACAAAAAGAGGTTTTCAAAACTGCTCTATGCAGAGGTATGTTCAACTCTGTGAGTTGAATGCAAACATCCCGAAGCAGTTTCTGAGAATGCTTCTGTCTAGTTTTTAGGGGAAGATATCTCCATTGGCACAATAGCCCTCAAAGTGCTCCAAGTATCCACTGGCAGATTCTAGCAAAAGAGTGTTTCAAAACTGCTCTGTGAGAAGAAATGTTCAACTGTGTTAGTTGAATGCCCACATCACAAAGACGATTGTGAGAATATTTCTGTCTAGTTTTTATTAGAAGATATTCCCGTTTCCACCAAAGGACACAAAGCGAAGCCAACTATCCGCTTGCAGATCTTACAAAAACACGTTTCAAAACTGCTCTATCAAAGGAAAGGTTCATCTCTCTGGGTTCAACGCACACATCACAAAGAAGTCTCTGAGAATGCTTCTGGCTAGTTTGTGTGTGAAGATATTCCCATTTCCAACAAAGGCTTCAAAGCGCTCAAAGATTCACCTGCAATTGTTCAAAAGAGTGTTTCAAAACTGTTCTATCAAAAGGAAGGTTCAACTCTGTGAGCTGAATGCACGCTTCACATAAATGTTTCTGAGAATGCTTCTTTCTAGTTTTTATGGGAAGATATTTCCTTCTCCACCATAGCCCTCAAAGCGCTCCAAGTGTCCGCTGGCAGATTCCACAGAAACAGTGTTTCAAAACTGCTCTGACAAAAGAAAGATTCAACTCCGTGATTTGAATGCACACATCACAAAGCATTTTACTGTGAATCCTTCTGTCTAGTTTTTATATGAGGATATTTCCTTTTCTACCACGGGCATCCAAGCGTTCCAATTCTCCAATTGTAGATTGCACAAACAGAGTGTTTCAAAACTGCTCCATAAGAAGGAAGATTCAAATTTGGGAGTACAATGCACACATCACGAAGAAGTTTCTGAGAATGCTTCTGTCTAGTTTATATGTGAAGATATTCCCATTTCCAGCAAAGGTCTCAAAGCGGTCCCAAATATCCACTTGCGGATCCCACAAACAGAGTGTTTCAAAACTGCTCTACGGAAAGGTAGGTTCAACTCTGTGAGTTTACTGCAAACATCCTAAAGAAGTTTCTGAGAATGCTGCTGTCTACTTTAATGTGAATATATTTTCTTTTCCGCCATAGCCCTGAAAGAGCTCCAAATATCCACTTTCAGGTTCTACAGAGTGTTTCAAAACTGCTCTATCAAAAAAAAGTTTCAACTCGGTGAGTCGAATGCGCATATCACAAAGCCCTTTCTGAGAATGCTTTCGTCTATTTTTCCCAGGAAGATATTTCCTTTTGGACCTTAGGCCTTAAATCGCTCCAGATATCCACATGCAGATTCTACAAAAAGAGTGTTTCCAAACTGCCCTATCAAAAGGAAGGTTCAACCCTGGTAGTTGAATGCAAACATCACAAAGAACTTTCTCAGAATGCTTCTGTCTAGCTGTGATAGGCAGATATTTCTTTTTCTACCATAGGCCTCAAAGCGCTCCAAATATCCACTTGCAGATTCTCCAAAAACAGGGTTTCAAAACTGCTCCATATAAAGGAAGGTTCAACTCTGTGAGTTGAATGGACAGACCACAAAGAAGTTTCTGAGAATGCTTCTGTCTAGTGTTTATGTGAAGATATTCCCGTTTCCGATGAAGGCCTCAAAGCAGTCCAAATGTCCACTTGCAGATTCTACAAAAATAGTGTTTCAAAACTACTCTATGCAAAGGTATGTTCAACACTGTGAGATGAATGCAAACGTCACCAAGAAGTTGCTGAGAATGATTCAGTCTAGTTTCCATGGGAAGACATTTCCTTTTGCACCACAGCCCTCAAAGCACTCCAAATGTCTACTGGCAGATTCGATAAAAGAGTTTTTCAAAACTGCTCTATCAAAAGAAAGGTTCAACGCTGTGAGCTGAATCTACATATCACAAAAAAGTTTCTGAGAATGCCTCTATCTACTTTTTATGTGAAGATATTCCGGTTTCCAACGAAGGCCTCAAAGCGCTCCAAATATCTACTGGCAGATTCTAGAAAAAGAGTGTTTCAAAACTGCTCTATTAAAGGAAGGTTCAACTCTGTGAGTTGAATTCACACATCACAAAGAACTTTCTGACAATGCTTCTATCTAGTTTTTATGTGAAGATATTACTGTTTCCCATGAAGGCCTCAAAGTGGTCCGAATATCCACTTGCAGATTCTACAAAAAGAGGTTTTCAAAACTGCTCTATGCAGAGGTATGTTCAACTCTGTGAGTTGAATGCAAACATCCCGAAGCAGTTTCTGAGAATTCTTCTGTCTAGTTTTTAGGGGCAGATATTTCCATTGGCACAATAGCCCTCAAAGCGCTCCAAATATCCACTGGCAGATTCGACCAAAAGAGTGTTTCAAAACTGCTCTGTGAAAAGAAATGTTCAACTGCATTAGTTGAATGCCCACATCACAAAGAAGTTTCTGAGAATATCGCTCTGTCTAGTTTTTATTAGAAGATATTCCCGTTTCCACCAAAGGACACAAAGCGAAGCCAATTATCCGCTTGCAGATCTTACAAAAACACGTTTCAAAACTGCTCTATCAAAGGAAAGGTTCATCTCTCTGGGTTCAACGCACACATCACAAAGAAGTTTCTGAGAATGCTTCTGGCTAGTTCGTGTGTGAAGATATTCCCGTTTCCAACAAAGGCTTCAAAGCCCTCCAAATATTCACCTGCAATTGTTCAAAAGAGTGTTTCAAAACTGTTCTATCAAAAGGAAAGTTCAACTCTATGAGTTGAATGCATGCTTCACATAAATGGTTCTGAGAATGCTTCTTTCTAGTTTTTATGGGAAGATATTTCCTTCTCCACCATAGCCCTCAAAGTGCTCCAAGTGTCCGCTGGCAGATTCCACAGAAACAGTGTTTCAAAACTGCTCTGACAAAAGAAAGATTCAACTCCGTGATTTGAATGCACACATCACAAAGCATTTTCTGTGAATCTTTCTGTCTAGTTTTTATATGAGGATATTTCCTTTTCTACCATGGGACATCAAAGCGTTCCAATTATCCAATTGTGGATTGCACAAACAGAGTGTTTCAAAACTGCTTCATGAAAAGGAAGATTCAAATTCGGGAGTAGAATGCACACATCACGAAGAAGTTTCTGAGAATGCTTCTGTCTAGTTTATACGTGAAGATATTCCCATTTCCAGCAAAGGTCTCAAAGCGGTCCAAATATCCACTTGCGGATCCCACAAACAGAGTGTTTCAAAACTGCTCTACGGAAAGGTATGTTCAACTCTGCGAGTTTACTGCAAACATCCTAAAGAAGTTTCTGAGAATGCTGCTGTCTACTTTAATGTGAATATATTTTCTTTTCCGCCATAGCCCTCAAAGAGCTCCAAATATCCACTTTCAGATTCTACAGAGTGTTTCAAAACTGCTGTATCAAAAAAAAGTTTCAACTCGGTGAGTCGAATGCGCATATCACAAAGCACTTTCTGAGAATGCTTTCGTCTATCTTTCCCAGGAAGACATTTCCTTTTGGACCGTAGGCCTCAAATCGCTCCAGATATCCACATGCAGATTCTACAAAAAGAGTGTTTCCAAACTGCCCTATCAAAAGGAAGGTTCAACTCTGGTAGTTGAAGGCAAACATCACAAAGAAGTTTCTCAGAATGCTTCTGTCTGGTTTTTAGAGGCAGATATTTCTTTTTCTACCATAGGCCTCAAAGCGCTCCAAATATCCACTTGCAGATTCTCCAAAAAGAGTGTTTCAAAACTGCTGCAGAAAAAGGAAGGTTCAAATCTGTGAGTTGAATGGACAGATGACAAATAAGTTTCTGAGGATGCTTCTCTCTAGTGTTTATGTGAAGATATTCCCGTTTCCGATGAAGGCCTCAAAGCAGTCCAAATATCCACTTGCCGATTCTACAAAAACAGTGTTTCAAAACTACTCTATGGAAAGGTATGTTCAACACTGTGAGATGAATGCAAACGTCACCAAGAAGTTGCTGAGAATGCTTTCAGTCTAGTTTCTATGGGAAGACATTTCCTTTTGCACCACAGCCCTCAAAGCACTCAAAAGGTCTACTGGCAGATTCGATAAAAGCGTTTTTCAAAACTGCTCTATCAAAAGAAAGGTTCAACGCTGTGAGTTGAATCTACATATCACAAAAAAGTTTCTGAGAATGCCTCTATCTACTTTTTATGTGAAGATATTCCGGTTTCCAACGAAGGCCTCAAAGCGCTCCAAATATCTACTTGCAGACTCTAGAAAAAGAGTGTTTCAAAACTGCTCTATTAAAGGAAGCTTCAACTCTGTGAGTTAAATTCACACATCACAACGAACTTTCTGACAATGCTTCTATCTAGTTTTTATGTGAAGATATTACTGTTTCCTATGAAGGCCTCAAAGTGGTCCGAATATCCACTTGCAGATTCTACAGAAAGAGGTTTTCAAAACTGCTCTCTGAAGAGGTATGTTCAACTCTGTGTGTTGAATGCAGACATCACGAAGTAGTTTCTGAGAATGCTTCTGTCTAGTTTTTAGGGGCAGATATTTCCATTGGCACAATAGCCCTCAAAGCGCTCCAAATATCCACTGGCAGATTCGACCAAAAGAGTGTTTCAAAACTGCTCTGTGAAAAGAAATGTTCGACTGTGTTAGTTGAATGCCCACATCACAAAGAAGTTTCTGAGAATATCTCTGTCTAGTTTTTATTAGAAGATATTCCCGTTTCCACCGAAGGACACAAAGCGAAGCCAATTATCCGCTTGCAGATCTTACAAAAACACGTTTCAAAACTGCTCTATCAAAGGAAAGGTTCATCTCTCTGGGTTCAACGCACACATCACAAAGAAGTTTCTGAGAATGCTTCTGGCTAGTTTGTGTGTGAAGATATTCCCATTTCCAACAAAGGCTTCAAAGCGCTCCAAAGATTCACCTGCAATTGTTCAAAAGGGTGTTTCAAAACTCTTCTATCAAAAGGAAGGTTCAACTCTGTGAGTTGAATGCACGCTTCACATAAATGTTTCTGAGAATGCTTCTTTCTAGTTTTTATGGGAAGATATTTCCTTCTCCACCATAGCCCTGAAAGCGCTCCAAGTGTCCGCTGGCAGATTCCACAGAAACAGTGTTTCAAAACTGCTCTGACTAAAGAAAGATTCAACCCCGTGATTTGAATGCACACATCACAAAGCATTTTCTGTGAATCCTTCTGTCTAGTTTTTATATGAGGATATTTCCTTTTCTACCACGGGCATCCAAGCCTTCCAATTCTCCAATTGTAGATTGCACAAACAGAGTGTTTCAAAACTGCTCCATGAGAAGCAAGATTCAAATTTGGGAGTACAATGCACACGTCACGAAGAAGTTTCTGAGAATGTTTCTGTCTAGTTTATATGTGAAGATATTCCCATTTCCAGCAAAGGTCTCAAAGCGGTCCAAATATCCACTTGCAGATCCCACAAACAGAAGGTTTCAAAACTGCTTTACGGAAAGGTATGTTCAACTCTGTGAGTTTACTGCAAACATCCTAAAGAAGTCTCTGAGAATGCTGCTGTCTAGTTTAATGTGAATATATTTTCTTTTCCGCCATAGCCCTCAAAGAGCTCCAAATATCCACTTTCAGATTCTACAGAGTGTTTCAAAACTGCTCTATCCAAAAAAAGTTTCAACTCGGTGAGTTGAATGCACATATCACAAAGCAGCTTCTGAGAATGCTTTCGTCTATTTTTCCCAGGAAGATATTTCCTTTTTGACCGTAGGCCTCAAACCGCTCCAGATATCCACATGCAGATTCTACAAAAAGAGTGTTTCCAAACTGCCCCATCAAAAGGAAGGTTCAACTCTGCTAGTTGAATGCAAACATCACAAAGAAGTTTCTCGGAATGCTTCTGTCTAGTTGTCATAGGCAGATATTTCTTTTTCTACCATAGGCCTCAAAGCGCTCCAAATATCCACTTGCAGATCCTCCAAAAACAGTGTTTCAAAACTGCTCCATAAAAAGGAAGGTTCAACTCTGTGAGTTGAATGGACAGACCACAAAGAAGTTTCTGAGAATGCTTCTGTCTAGTGTTTATGTGAAGATATTCCCGTTTCCGATGAAGGCCTCAAAGCAGTCCAAATATCCACTTGCAGATTCTACAAAAATAGTGCTTCAAAACTACTCTATGGAAAGGTATGTTCAACACTGTGAGATGAATGCAAACGTCACAATGAAGTTGCTGAGAAGGCTTCAGTCTAGTTTCTATGGGAAGACATTTCCTTTTGCACCACAGCCCTGAAAGCACTCCAAATGTCTACTTGCAGATTCGATAAAAGAGTTTTACAAAACTGCTCTATCAAAAGAAAGGTTCAACGCTGTGAGTTGAATCCACATATCACGAAAAAGTTTCTGAGAATGCCTCTATCTACATTTCCTGTGAAGATATTCCGGTTTCCAACGAAGGCCTCAAAGCGCTCCAAATATCTACTTGCAGATTCTAGAAAATGAGTGTTTCAAAACTGCTCTATTAAAGGAAGGTTCAACTCTGTGAGTTGAATTCACACATCACAAAGAACTTTCTGACAATGCTTCTATCTAGTTTTTATGTGAAGATATTACTGTTTCCTATGAAGGCCTCAAAGTGGTCCGAATATCCACTTGCAGATTCTACAGAAAGAGGTTTTCAAAACTGCTCTGTGAAGAGGTATGTTCAACTCTGTGTGTTGAATGCAGACATCACGAAGTAGTTTCTGAGAATGCTTCTGTCTAGTTTTCAGGGGCAGATATTTCCATTGGCACAATAGCCCTCCAAGCGCTCCAAATATCCACTGGCAGATTCTACCAAAAGAGTGTTTCAAAACTGCTCTGTGAAAAGAAATGTTCAACTGTGTTAGTTGAATGCCCACATCACAAAGAAGATTCTGAGAATATTTTCTGTCTAGTTTTTATTAGAAGATATTCCCGTTTCCACCAAAGGACACAAAGCGAAGCCAACCATCCGCTTGCAGATCTTACAAAAACACGTTTCAAAACTGCTCTTTCAAAGGAAAGGTTCATCTCTCTGGGTTCAACGCACACATCACAAAGAAGTTTCTGAGAATGCTTCTGGCTAGTTTGTGTGTGAAGATATTCCCATTTCCAACACTGGCTTCAAAGCGCTCCAAAGATTCACCTGCAATTGTTCAAAAGAGTGTTTCAAAACTGTTCTATCAAAAGGAAGGTTCAACACTGTGAGTTGAATTCACGCTTCACATACATGTTTCTGAGAATGCTTCTTTCTAGTTTTTATGTGAAGATATTTCCTTCTCCACCGTAGCCCTCAAAGCGCTCCAAGTGTCCGCTGGCAGATTCCACAGAAACAGTGTTTCAATACTGCTCTAACAAAAGAAAGATTCAACTCCGTGATTTGAATGCACACATCACAAAGCATTTTCTGTGAATCCTTCTGTCTAGTTTTTATATGAGGATATTTCCTTTTCTACCATGGGCATCAAAGCGTTCCAATTATCCAATTGTGGATTGCACAAACAGAGTGTTTCAAAACTGCTTCATGAAAAGGAAGATTCAAATTCGGGAGTAGAATGCACACATCACGAAGAAGTTTCTGAGAATGCTTCTGTCTAGTTTATATGTGAAGATATTCCCATTTCCAGCAAAGTTCTCAAAGCTGTCCAAATATCCACTTGCATATCCCACAAACAGAGTGTTTCAAAACTGCTCTATGGAAAGGTAGGTTCAACTCTGTGAGTTTACTGCAAACATCCTAAAGAAGTTTCTGAGAATGCTGCTGTCTAGTTTAATGTGAATATATTTTCTTTTCCGCCATAGCCCTCAAGGAGCTCCAAATATCCACTTTCAGATTCTAAAGAGTGTTTCAAAACTGCTCTATCCAAAAAAAGTTTCAACTCGGTGAGTCGAATGCACATATCACAAAGCAGTTTCTGAGAATGCTTTCGTCTATTTTTCTCAGGAAGATATTTCCTTTTTGACCGTAGGCCTCAAACCGCTCCAGATATCCACATGCAGATTCTACAAAAAGAGTGTTCCCAAACTGCCCTATCAAAAGGAAGGTTCAACTCTGCTAGTTGAATGCAAACATCACAAAGAAGTTTCTCGGAATGCTTCTGTCTGGTTTTTAGAGGCAGATATTTCTTTTTCTACCATAGGCCTCAAAGCGCTCCAAATATCCACTTGCAGATTCTCCAAAAGGAGTGTTTCAAAACTGCTCCATAAAAAGGAAGGTTCAACTCTGTGAGTTGAATGGACAGATGACAAAGAAGTTTCTGAGAATGCTTCTCTCTAGTGTTTATGTGAAGATATTCCCGTTTCCGATGAAGGCCTCAAAGCAGTCCAAATATCCACTTGCAGATTCTACAAAAACAGTGTTTCAAAAGTACTCTATGGAAAGGTATGTTCAACACTGTGAGATGAATGCAAACGTCACAAAGAAGTTGCTGAGAATGCTTCAGTCTAGTTTCTATGGGAAGACATTTCCTTTTGCACCAGAGCCCTCAAAGCACTCCAAATGTCTACTTGCAGATTCGATAAAAGAGTTTTTCAAAACTGCTCTATCAAAAGAAAGGTTCAACGCTGTGAGTTGAATCTACATATGACATAAAAGTTTCTGAGCATGTCTCTATCTACTTTTTATGTGAAGATATTCCGGTTTCCAACGAAGGCTTCAAAGCGCTCCAAATATCTACTTGCAGATTCTAGAAAAAGAGTGTTTCAAAACTGCTCTATTAAAGGAAGGTTCAACTCTGTGAGTTGAATTCACACATCACAAAGAACTTTCTGACAATGCTTCTATCTAGTTTTTATGTGAAGATATTACTGTTTCCTATGAAGGCCTCAAAGTGGTCCGAATATCCACTTGCAGATTCTACAAAAAGAGGTTTTCAAAACTGCTCTATGAAGAGGTATGTTCACCTCTGTGAGTTGAATGCAAACATCACAAAACAGTTTCTGAGAATGCTTCTGTCTAGTTTTTAGGGGCAGATATTTCCATTGGCATAATAGCCCTCAAAGCGCTCCAAATATCCACTGGCAGATTCGACCAAAAGAGTGTTTCAAAACTGCTCTGTGAAAAGAAATGTTCGACTGTGTTAGTTGAATGCCCACATCACAAAGAAGTTTCTGAGAATATCTCTGTCTAGTTTTTATTAGAGGATATTCCCGTTTCCACCAAAGGACACAAAGCGAAGCCAATTATCCGCTTGCCGATCTTACAAAAACACGTTTCAAAACTGCTCTATCAAAGGAAAGGTTCATCTCTCTGGGTTCAACGCACACATCACAAAGAAGTTTCTGAGAATGCTTCTGGCTAGTTTGTGTGTGAAGATATTCCCATTTCCAACAAAGGCTTCAAAGCGCTCCAAAGATTCACCTGCAATTGTTCAAAAGAGTGTTTCAAAACTGTTGTATCAAAAGGAAGGTACAACTCTGTGAGTTGAATGCACGCTTCACATAAATGTTTCTGAGAATGCTTCTTTCTAGTTTTTATGGGAAGATATTTCCTTCTCCACCACAGCCCTCAAAGCGCTCCAAGTGTCCGCTGGCAGATTCCACAGAAACAGTGTTTCAAAACTGCTCTAACAAAAGAAAGATTCAACTCCGTGATTTGAATGCACACATCACAAAGCATTTTCTGTGAATCCTTCTGTCTAGTTTTTATATGAGGATATTTCCTTTTCTACCACGGGCATGCAAGCGTTCCAATTCTCCAATTGTAGATTGCACAAACAGAGTGTTTCAAAACTGCTCCATGAGAAGGAAGATTCAAATTTGGGAGAACAATGCACACATCACGAAGAAGTTTCTGAGAATGCTTCTGTCTAGTTTATACGTGAAGATATTCCCATTTCCAGCAAAGGTCTCAAAGCGGTCCAAATATCCACTTGCAGATCCCACAAACAGAGTGTTTCAAAACTGCTCTACGGAAAGGTATGTTCAACTCTGTGAGTTTACTGCAAACATCCTAAAGAAGTTTCTGAGAATGCTGCTGTCTAGTTTAATGTGAATATCTTTTCTTTTCCGCCATAGCCCTCAAAGAGCTCTAAATATCCACTTTCAGATTCTACAGAGTGTTTCAAAACTGCTCTATCCAAAAAAAGTTTCAACTCGGAGAGTCGAATGCACATATCACAAAGCAGTTTCTGAGAATGCTTTCGTCTATTTTTCCCAGGAAGATATTTCCTTTTGGACCGTAGGCCTCAAATCGCTCCAGATATCCACATGCAGATTCTACAAAAAGAGTGTTTCCAAACTGCCCTATCAAAAGGAAGGTTCACCTCTGGTAGTTGAATGCAAACATCACAAAGAAGTTTCTCAGAATGCTTCTGTCTAGTTGTCATAGGCAGATATTTCTTTTTCTACCATAGGCCTCAAAGCGCTCCAAATATCCACTTGCAGATTCTCCGAAAACAGTGTTGCAAAACTGCTCCATAAAAAGGAAGGTTCAACTCTGTGAGTTGAATGGACAGACCACAAAGAAGTTTCTGAGAATGCTTCTCTCTAGTGTTTATGGAAGATATTCCCGTTTCCGATGAAGGCCTCAAAGCAGTCCAAATATCCACTTGCCGATTCTACAAAAACAGTGTTTCAAAACCACTCTATGGAAAGGTATGTTCAACACTGTGAGATGAATGCAAACGTCAACAAGAAGTTGCTGAGAATGCTTCAGTCTAGTTTCTATGGGAAGACTTTTCCTTTTGCACCAGAGCCCTCAAAGCACCCCAAATGTCTACCTGCAGATTCGATAAAAGAGTTTTTCAAAACTGCTCCATCCAAAGAAAGGTTCAACGCTGTGAGTTGAATCTACATATCACAAAAAAGTTTCTGAGAATGCCTCTATCTACTTTTCCTGTGAAGATATTCCGGTTTCCAACGAAGGCCTCAAAGCGCTCCAAATATCTACTTGCAGATTCTAGAAAAAGTGTGTTTCAAAACTGCTCTATTAAAGGAAGGTTCAAATCTGTGAGTTTAATGCCCACATCACAAAGAAGATTCTGAGAATATTTCTATCTAGTTTTTATGTGAAGATATTACTGTTTCCTATGAAGGCCTCAAAGTGGTCCGAATATCCACTTGCAGATTCTACAAAAAGAGGTTTTCAAAACTGCTCTATGAAGAGGTATGTTCAACTCTGTGAGTTGAATGCAAACATCACAAAGTAGTTTCTGAGAATGCTTCTGTCTAGTTTTTAGGGGAAGATATTTCCATTGGCACAATACCCTCAAAGCGCTCCAAGTATCCACTGGCAGATTCTAGCAAAAGAGTGTTTCCAAACTGCTCTGTGAAAAGAAATGTTCAACTGTGTTAGTTGAATGCCCACATCACAAAGATGATTGTGAGAATATTTCTGTCTAGTTTTTATTAGAAGATATTCCCGTTTCCACCAAAGGACACAAAGCGAAGCCAATTATCCGCTTGCCGATCTTACAAAAACACGTTTCAAAACTGCTCTATCAAAGGAAAGGTTCATCTCTCTGGGTTCAACGCGCACATCACAAAGAAGTTTCTGAGAATGCTTCTGGCTAGTTTGTGTGTGAAGATATTCCCATTTCCAACAAAGGCTTCAAAGCCCCCCAAATATTCACCTGCAATTGTTCAAAAGAGTGTTTCAAAACTGTTCTATCAAAAGGAAGGTTCAACTCTGTGAGTTGAACGCACGCTTCACATAAATGGTTCTGAGAATGCTTCTTTCTAGTTTTTATGGGAAGATATTTCCTTCTCCACCATAGCCCTCAAAGCGCTCCAAGTGTTCGCTGGCAGATTCCACAGAAACAGTGTTTCAAAACTGCTCTGACAAAAGAAAGATTCAACTCCGTGATTTGAATGCACACATCACAAAGCATTTTCTGTGAATCCTTCTGTCTAGTTTTTATATGAGGATATTTCCTTTTCTACCATGGGCATCAAAGCGTTCCAATTATCCAATTGTAGATTGCACAAACAGAGTGTTTCAAAACTGCTCCATGAGAAGGAAGATTCAAATTTGGGAGTACAATGCACACATCACAAAGAAGTTTCTGAGAATGCTTCTGTCTAGTTTATATGTGAAGATATTCCCATTTCCAGCAAAGGTCTCAAAGCGGTCCAAATATCCACTTGCGGATCCCACAAACAGAGTGTTTCAAAACTGCTCTACGGAAAGGTAGGTTCAACTCTGTGAGTTTACTGCAAACATCCTAAAGAAGTTTCTGAGAATGCTGCTGTCTACTTTAATGTGAATATATTTTCTTTTCCGCCATAGCCCTCAAAGAGCTCCAAATATCCACTTTCAGATTCTACAGAGTGTTTCAAAACTGCTCTATCAAAAAAAAGTTTCAACTCGGTGAGTTGAATGCGCATATCACAAAGCAGTTTCTGAGAATGCTTTCGTCTATTTTTCCCAGGAAGATATTTCCTTTTTGACCATAGGCCTCAAACCGCTCCAGATATCCACATGCAGATTCTACAAAAAGAGTGTTTCCAAACTGCCCTATCAAATGGAAAGTTCAACTCTGCTAGTTGAATGCAAACATCGCAAAGAAGTTTCTCGGAATGCTTCTGTCTGGTTTTTAGAGGCAGATATTTCTTTTTCTACCATAGGCCTCAAAGCGCTCCAAATATCCACCTGCAGATTCTCCCAAAGGAGTGTTTCAAAACTGCTCCATAAAAAGGAAGGTTCAACTCTGTGAGTTGAATGGACAGATCACAAAGAAGTTTCTGAGAATGCTTCTCTCTAGTGTTTATGTGAAGATATTCCCGTTTCCGATGAAGGCCTCAAAGCAGTCCAAATATCCACTGGCCGATTCTACAAAAACAGTGTTTCAAAACTACTCTATGGAAAGGTATGTTCAACACTGTGAGATGAATGCAAACGTCACAAAGAAGTTGCTGAGAATGCTTTCAGTCTAGTTTCTATGGGAAGACATTTCCTTTTGCACCACAGCCCTCAAAGCACCCCAAATGTCTACCTGCAGATTCGATAAAAGAGTTTTTCAAAACTGCTCCATCGAAAGAAAGGTTCAACGCTGTGAGTTGAATCTACATATCACAAAGAGATTCTGAGAATGCCTCTATCTACGTTTTATGTGAAGATATTCCGGTTTCCAACGAAGGCCTCAAAGCGCTCCAAATATCTACTGGCAGATTCTAGAAAAAGAGTGTTTCAAAACTGCTCTAATAAAGGAAGGTTCAACGCTGTGAGTTGAATTCACACATCACAAAGAACTTTCTGACAATGCTTCTATCTAGTTTTTATGTGAAGATATTACTGTTTCCTATGAAGGCCTCAAAGTGGTCCGAATATCCACTTGCAGATTCTACAAAAAGAGGTTTTCAAAACTGCTCTATGCAGAGGTATGTTCAACCCTGTGAGTTGAATGCAAACATCACGAAGCAGTTTCTGAGAATGCTTCTGTCTAGTTTTTAGGGGCAGATATTTCCGTTGGCACAATAGCCCTGAAAGCGCTCCAAATATCCACTGGCAGATTCTACCAAAAGGGTGTTTCCAAACTGCTCTGTGAAAAGAAAGGTTCAACTGTGTTAGTTGAATGCCCACATCACAAAGAAGATTCTGAGAATATTTCTGTCTAGTTTTTATTAGAAGATATTCCCGTTTCCACCAAAGGACACAAAGCGAAGCCAATTATCAGCTTGCAGATCTTACAAAAACACGTTTCCAAACTGCTCTATCAAAGGAAAGGTTCATCTCTCTGGGTTCAACGCACACATCACAAAGAAGTTTCTGAGAATGCTTCTGGCTAGTTTGTGTGTGAAGATATTCCCATTTCCAACAAAGCCTTCAAAGCGCTCCAAAGATTCACCTGCAATTGTTAAAAAGAGTGTTTCAAAACTGTTCTATCAAAAGGAAGGTTCAACTCTGTGAGTTGAATGCATGCTTCACATAAATGTTTCCGAGAATGCTTCTTTCTAGTTTTTATGGAAAGATATTTCCTTCTCCACCATGGCCCTCAAAGCGCTCCAAGTGTCCGCTGGCAGATTCCACAGAAACAGTGTTTCAAAACTGCTCTAACAAAAGAAAGATTCAACCCCGTGATTTGAATGCACACATCACAAAGCATTTTCTGTGAATCCTTCTGTCTAGTTTTTATATGAGGATATTTCCTTTTCTACCACGGGCCTCCGAGCGTTCCAATTCTCCAATTGTAGATTGCACAAACAGAGTGTTTGAAAACTGCTCCATGAGAAGGAAGATTCAAATTTGGGAGTACAATGCACACATCACCAAGAAATTTCTGAGAATGCTTCTGTCTAGTTTATATGTGAAGATATTCCCGTTTCCAGCAAAGGTCTCAAAGGGGTCCAAATATCCACTTGCGGATCCCACAAACAGAGTGTTTCAAAACTGCTCTACGGAAAGGTATGTTCAAGTCTGTGAGTTTACTGCAAACATCCTAAAGAAGTTTCTGGGAATGCTGCTGTCTACTTTAATGTGAATATAGTTTCTTTTCCGCCATAGCCCTCAAAGAGCTCCAAATATCCACTTTCAGATTCTACAGAGTGTTTCAAAACTGCTCTATCAAAAAAAAGTTTCAACTCGGTGAGTCGAATGCACATATCACAAAGCAGTTTCTGAGAATGCTTTCGTCTATTTTTCCCAGGAAGATATTTCCTTTTTGACCGTAGGCCTCAAACCGCTCCAGATATCCACATGCAGATTCTACAAAAAGAGAGTTTCCAAACTGCCCTATGCAAAAGGAAGGATTCAACTCTGCTAGTTGAATGCAAACATCACAAAGAAGTTTCTCGGAATGCTTCTGTCTGGTTTTTAGAGGCAGATATTTCTTTTTCTACCGTAGGCCTCAAAGCGCTCCAAATATCCACTTGCAGATTCTCCAAAAGGAGTGTTTCAAAACTGCTCCATAAAAAGGAAGTTTCAACTCTGTGAGTTGAATGGACAGATGACAAAGAAGTTTCTGAGAATGCTTCTCTCTAGTGTTTATGTGAAGATATTCCCGTTTCCGATGAAGGCCTCAAAGCAGTCCAAATATCCACTTGCCGATTCTACAAAAACAGTGTTTCAAAACTACTCTATGGAAAGATATGTTCAACACTGTGAGATGAATGCAAACGTCACAAAGAAGTTGCTGAGAATGCTTCAGTCTAGTTTCCATGGGAAGACATTTCCTTTGGCACCACAGCCCTCAAAGCACTCCAAATGTCTACTTGCAGATTCGACAAAAGAGTTTTTCAAAACTGCTCTATCAAAAGAAAGGTTCAACGCTGTCAGATGAATCTACATATCACAAAAAAGTTTCTGAGAATGCCTCTATCTACTTTTTATGTGAAGGTATTCCGGTTTCCAACGAAGGCCTCAAAGCGCTCCAAATATCTACTTGCAGACTCTGGAAAAAGAGTGTTTCAAAATTGCTCTATTAAAGGAAGGTTCATCTCTGTGAGTTGAATTCACACATTACAAAGAACTTTCTGACAATGCTTCTATCTAGTTTTTCTGTGAAGATATTACTGTTTCCTATGAAGGCCTCAAAGTGGTCCGAATATCCACTTGCAGATTCTACAAAAAGATGTTTTCAAAACTGCTCTATGAGGAGGTATTTTCAAATCTGTGAGTTGAATGCAAACATCACAAAGTAATTTCTGAGAATGCTTCTGTCTAGTTTTTAGGGGCAGATATTTCCGTTGGCACAATAGTCCTCAAAGCGCTCCAAATATCCACTGGCAGATTCTACCAAAAGAGTGTATCAAAACTGCTCTGTGAAGAGAAAGTTTCAACTGTGTTAGTTGAATGCCCACATCACAAAGAAGATTCTGAGAATATTTCTGTCTAGTTTTTATTAGAAGATATTCCCGTTTCCACCAAGCGACACAAAGCGAAGCCAATTATCCGCTTGCAGATCTTACAAAAACACGTTTCAAAACTGCTCTATCAAAGGAAAGGTTCATCTCTCTGGGTTCAACGCACACATCACAAAGAAGTTTCTGAGAATGCTTCTGGCTAGTTTGTGTGTGAAGATATTCCCATTTCCAACAAAGGCTTCAAAGCCCTCCAAATATTCACCTGCAATTGTTCAAAAGAGTGTTTCAAAACTGTTCTATCAAAAGGAAGGTTCAACTCTGTGAGTTGAACGCACGCTTCACATAAATGGTTCTCAGAATGCTTCTTTCTAGTTTTTATGGGAAGATATTTCCTTCTCCACCACAGCCCTCAAAGCGCTCCAAGTGTCCGCTGGCAGATCCCACAGAAACAGTGTTTCAAAACTACTCTGACAAAAGAAAGATTCAACTCCGTGATTTGAATGCACACATCACAAAGCATTTTCTGTGAATCCTTCTGTCTAGTTTTTATATGAGGCTATTTCCTTTTCTACCATTGGCATCAAAGTGTTCCAATTATCCAATTGTGGATTGCACAAACAGAGTGTTTCAAAACTGCTTCATGAAAAGGAAGATTCAAATTCGGGAGTAGAATGCACACATCACGAAGAAGTTTCTGAGAATGCTTCTGTCTAGTTTATATGTGAAGATATTCCCATTTCCAGCAAAGATCTCAAAGCTGTCCAAATATCCACTTGCGGACCCCACAAACAGAGTGTTTCAAAACTGCTCTACGGAAAGGTATGTTCAACTCTGTGAGTTTACTGCAGACATCCTAAAGAAGTTTCTGAGAATGCTGCTGTCTACTTTAATGTGAATATAGTTTCTTTGCCGCCATAGCCCTCAAAGAGCTCCAAATATCCACTTTCAGATTCTACAGAGTGTTTCAAAACTGCTCTATCAAAAAAAAGTTTCAACTCGGTCAGTCGAATGCACATATCACAAAGCAGTTTCTGAGAATGCTTTCGTCTATTTTTCCCAGGAAGATATTTCCTTTTGGACCGTAGGCCTCAAATCGCTCCAGATATCCACATGCAGATTCTACAAAAAGAGTGTTTCCAAACTGCCCTATTAAAAGGAAGGTTCAACTCTGGTAGTTGAATGCAAACATCACAAAGAAGTTTCTCAGAATGCTTCTGTCTAGTTGTCATAGGCCGATATTTCTTTTTCTACCATAGGCCTCAAAGCGCTCCAAATATCCACTTGCAGATCCTCCAAAAACAGTGTTTCAAAACTGCTCCATAAAAAGGAAGGTTCAACTCTGTGAGTTGAATGGACAGACCACAAAGAAGTTTCTGAGAATGCTTCTGTCTAGTGTTTATGTGAAGATATTCCCGTTTCCGATGAAGGCCTCAAAGCAGTCCAAATATCCACTTGCAGATTCTACAAAAATAGTGTTTCAAAACTGCTCTATGGAAAGGTATGTTCAACACTGTGAGATGAATGCAAACGTCACAAGGAAGTTGCTGAGAATGCTTCAGTCTAGTTTCTATGGGAAGACATTTCCTTTTGCACCACAGCCTCCAAAGCACTCCAAATGTCTACTTGCAGATTCGATAAAAGAGTTTTACAAAACTGCTCTATCAAAAGAAAGGTTCAACGCTGTGAGTTGAATCCACATATCACGAAAAAGTTTCTGAGAATGCCTCTATCTACATTTCCTCTGAAGATATTCCGGTTTACAACGAAGGCCTCCAAGCGCTCCAAATATCTACTTGCAGATTCTAGAAAAAGAGTGTTTCAACACTGCTCTATTAAAGGAAAGTTCAACTCTGTGAGTTGAATTCACACATCACAAAGAACTTCCTGACAATGCTTCCATCTAGTTTTTATGTGAAGATATTACTGTTTCCTATGAAGGCCTCAAAGTGGTCCGAATATCCTCTTGCAGATTCTACAAAAAGAGGTTTTCAAAACTGCTCTATGAAAAGGTATGTTCAACTCTGTGAGTTGAATGCAAACATCACAAAGCAGTTTCTGAGAATGCTTCTGTCTAGTTTTCAGGGGCAGATATTTCCATTGGCACAACAGCCCTCCAAGCGCTCCAAATATCCACTGGCAGATTCTACCAAAAGAGTGTTTCAAAACTGCTCTGTGAAAAGAAATGTTCAACTGTGTTAGTTGAATGCCCACATCACAAAGGAGATTCTGAGAATATTTCTGTCTAGTTTTTATTAGAAGATATTCCCGTTTCCACGAAAGGACACAAAGCGAAGCCAATTATCCGCTTGCCGATCTTACAAAAACACGTTTCAAAACTGCTCTATCAAAGGAAAGGTTCATCTCTCTGGGTTCAACGCACACATCACAAAGAAGTTTCTGAGAATGCTTCTGGCTACTTTGTGTGTGAAGATATTCCCATTTCCAACAAAGGCTTCAAAGCGCTCCAAATATTCACCTGCAATTGTTCAAAAGAGTGTTTCAAAACTGTTCTATCAAAAGGAAGGTTCAACGCTGTGAGTTGAATCTACATATCACACAAAAGTTTCTGAGAATGCCTCTTTCTAGTTTTTATGTGAAGATATTTCCTTCTCCACCATAGCCCTCAAAGCGCTCCAAGTGTCCGCTGGCAGATTCCACAGAAACAGTGTTTCAAAACTGCTCTAACAAAAGAAAGATTCAACTCCGTGATTTGAATGCACAAATCACAAAGCATTTTCTGTGAATCCTTCTGTCTAGTTTTTATATGAGGTTATTTCCTTTTCTACAATGGGCATCAAAGCGTTCCAGTTATCCAATTGTAGATTACACAAACGGAGTGTTTCAAAACTGCTTCATGAAAAGGAAGATTCAAATTTGGGAGTAGAATGCACACATCACGAAGAAGTTTCTGAGAATGCTTCTGTCCAGTTTATCTGTGAAGATATTCCCGTTTCCAGCAAAGGTCTCAAAGCGGTCCAAATATCCACTTGCGGATCCCACACACAGAGTGTTTCAAAGCTGCTCTACGGAAAGGTATGTTCAACTCTGTGAGTTTACTGCAAACATCCTAAAGAAGTTTCTGGGAATGCTGCTGTCTAGTTTAATGTGAATATCTTTTCTTTTCTGCCATAGCCCTCAAAGAGCTCCAAATATCCACTTTCAGATTCTACAGAGTGTTTCAAAGCTGCTCTATCCAAAAAAAGTTTCAACTCGGAGAGTCGAATGCACATATCACAAAGCAGTTCCTGAGAATGCTTTCGTCTATTTTTCCCAGGAAGATATTTCCTTTTGGACCGTAGGCCTCAAATCGCTCCAGATATCCACATGCAGATTCTCCAAATGAGTGTTTCCAAACTGCCCTATCAAAGGGAAGGTTCACCTCTGGTAGTTGAATGCAAACATCACAGAGAAGTTTCTCAGAATGCTTCTGTCTGGATTTTAGAGGCAGATATTTCTTTTTCTACCATAGGCCTCAAATCGCTCCAAATATCCACTTGCAGATTCTCCAAAAACAGTGATTCAAAACTGCTCCATAAAAAGGAAGGTTCAACTCTGTGAGTTGAATGGACAGATCACAAAGAAGTTTCTTAGAATGCTTCTCTCTAGTGTTTATGTGAAGATATTCCCGTTTCCGATGAAGGCCTCAAAGCAGTCCAAATATCCACTTGCCGATTCTACAAAAACAGTGTTTCAAAACCACTCTATGGAAAGGTATGTTCAACACTGTGAGGTGAATGCAAACGTCACCAAGAAGTTGCTGAGAATGCTTCAGTCTAGTTTCTATGGGAAGACATTTCCTTTTGCACCACAGCCCTCAAAGCACCCCGAATGTCTACCTGCAGATTCGATAAAAGAGGTTTTCAAAACTGCTCCATCCAAAGAAAGGTTCAACGCTGTGAGTTGAATCTACATATCACAAAAAAAGTTTCTGAGAATGCCTCTATCTACTTTTTCTGTGAAGATATTCCGGTTTCCAACGAAGGCCTCAAAGCGCTCCAAATATCTACTTGCAGATTCTAGAAGAAGAGTGTTTCAAAACTGCTCTATTAAAGGAAGGTTCAACTCTGTGAGTTGAATTCACACATCACAAAGAACTTTCTGACAATGCTTACTCTATCTAGTTTTTATGTGAAGATATTACTGTTTCCTATGAAGGCCTCAAAGTGGTCCGAATATCCACTTGCAGATTCTTCAAAAAGAGGTTTTCAAAACTGCTCTATGCAGAGGTATGTTCAACCCTGTGAGTTGAATGCAAACATCACGAAGCAGTTTCTGAGAATGCTTCTGTCTAGTTTTTAGGGGAAGATATTTCCATTGGCACAATAGCCCTCAAAGCGCTCCAAATATCCACTGGCAGATTCTACCAAAAGAGTCTTTCAAAACTGCTCTGTGAAAAGAAATGTTCAACTGTGTTAGTTGAATGCCCACATCACAAAGAAGATTCTGAGAATATTTCTGTCTAGTTTTTATTAGAAGATATTCCCGTTTCCACCAAAGGACGCAACGCGAAGCCAATTATCCGCTTGCAGATGTTAGAAAAACACGTTTCAAAACAGCTCTATCAAAGGAAAGGTTCATCTCTCTGGGTTCAACGCACACATTACAAAGAAGTTTCTGAGAATGTTTCTGGCTAGTTTGTGTGTGAATATATTCCTATTTCCAACAAAGGCTTCAAAGCGCTCCAAAGATTCACCTGCAATTGTTCAAAAGAGTGTTTCAAAACTGTTCTATCAAACGAAATGTTCAACTCTGTGAGTTGAATGCACGCTTCACATAAATGTTTCTGAGAATGCTTCTTTCTAGTTTTTATGTGAAGATATTTCCTTCTCCACCATAGCGTTCCAAGGGCTCCAAGTGTCCGCTGGCAGATTCCACAGAAACAGTGTTTCAAAACTGCTCTAAGAAAAGAAAGATTCAACTCCGTGATTTGAATGCACACATCACAAAGCATTTTCTGTGAATCCTTCTGTCTAGTTTTTATATGAGGATATTTCCTTTTCTACCACGGGCATCAAAGCGTTCCAATTATCCAATTGTAGATTGCATAAATAGAGTGTTTCAAAACTGCTTCATGAAAAGGAAGATTCAAATTTGGGAGTAGAATGCACACATCACGAAGAAGTTTCTGAGAATGCTTCTGTCTAGTTTATATGTGAAGATATTCCCGTTTCCAGCAAAGGTCTCAAAGCGGTCCAAATATCCACTTGCGGATCCCACAAACAGAGTGTTTCAAAACTGCTCTACGGAAAGGTATGTTCAACTCTGTGAGTTTACTGCAAGCATCCTAAAGAAGTTTCTGGGAATGCTGCTGTCTACTTTAATGTGAATATATTTTCTTTTCCGCCATAGCCCTCAAAGAGCTCCAAATATCCACTTTCAGATTCTACAGAGTGTTTCAAAACTGCTCTATCAAAAAAAAGTTTCAACTAGGTGAGTCGAATGCGCATATCACAAAGCAGTTTCTGAGAATGCTTTCGTCTATTTTTCCCAGGAAGATATTTCCTTTTTGACCGTAGGCCTCAAACCGCTCCAGATATCCACATGCAGATTCTACAAAAAGAGTGTTTCCAAACTGCCCTATCAAAAGGAAGGTTCTACTCTGCTAGTTGAATGCAAACATCGCAAGGAAGTTTCTCGGAATGCTTCTGTCTAGTTGTCATAGGCAGATATTTCTTTTTCTACCATGGGCCTCAAAGCGCTCCAAATATCCACTTGCAGATCCTCCAAAAACAGTGTTTCAAAACTGCTCCATAAAAAGGAAGGTTCAACTCTGTGAGTTGAATGGACAGACCACAAAGAAGTTTCTGAGAATGCTTCTGTCTAGTGTTTATGTGAAGGTATTCCCGTTTCCGATGAAGGCCTCAAAGCAGTCCAAATATCCACTTGCAGATTCTACAAAAATAGTGCTTCAAAACTACTCTATGGAAAGGTATGTTCAACACTGTGAGATGAATGCAAACGTCACAAAGAAGTTGCTGAGAATGCTTCAGTCTAGTTTCTATGGGAAGACATTTCCTTTTGCACCACAGCCCTCAAAGCACTCCAAATGTCTACTTGCAGATTCGATAAAAGAGTTTTTCAAAACTGCTCTATCAAAAGAAAGGTTCAACGCTGTGAGTTGAATCTACATGTCACAAAAAAGTTTCTGAGAATGCCTCTACCTACTTTTTATGTGAAGATATTCCGGTTTCCAACGAAGGCCTCAAAGCGCTCCAAATATCTACTTGCAGATTCTAGAAAAAGAGTGTTTCAAAACTGCTCTATTAAAGGAAGGTTCAACTCTGTGAGTTGAATTCACACATCACAAAGAACTTTCTGACAATGCTTCTATCTAGTTTTTATGTGAAGATATTACTGTTTCCTATGAAGGCCTCAATGTGGTCCGAATATCCACTTGCAGATTCTACAAAAAGAGGTTTTCAAAACTGCTCTATGCAGAGGTATGTTCAAGTCTGTGAGTTGAATGCAAACATCACGAAGCAGTTTCTGAGAATGCTTCTGTCTAGTTTTTAGGGGCAGATATTTCCGTTGGCACAATAGCCCTCAAAGCGCTCCAAATATCCACTGACAGATTCTACCAAAAGAGTGTTTCAAAACTGCTCTGTGAAAAGAAACGTTCAACTGTGTTAGTTGAATGCCCACATCACAAAGAAGATTCTGAGAATATTTCTGTCTAGTTTTTATTATAAGATATTCCCGTTTCCACCAAAGGACACAAAGCGAAGCCAATTATCCGCTTGCCGATCTTACAAAAACACGTTTCAAAACTGCTCTATCGAAGGAAAGGTTCATCTCTCTGGGTTCAACGCACACATCACAAACAAGTTTCTGAGAATGCTTCTGGCTAGTTGGTGTGTGAAGATATTCCCGTTTCCAACAAAGGCTTCAAAGCCCTCCAAATATTCACCTGCAATTGTTCAAAAGAGTGTTTCAAAACTGTTCTATCAAAAGGAAGGTTCAACTCTGTGAGTTGAATGCACGCTTCACATAAATGGTTCTGAGAATGCTTCTTTCTAGTTTTTATGTGAAGATATTTCCTTCTCCACCGTAGCCCTCAAAGCGCTCCAAGTGTCCGCTGGCAGATTCCACAGAAACAGTGTTTCAAAACTGCTCTAACAAAAGAAAGATTCAACTCCGTGATTTGAATGCACACATCACAAAGCATTTTCTGTGAATCCTTCTGTCTAGTTTTTATATGAGGATATTTCCTTTTCTACCATGGGCATCAAAGGGTTCCAATTATCCAATTGTAGATTGCACAAATAGAGTGTTTCAAAACTGCTTCATGAGAAGGAAGATTCAAATTTGGGAGTAGAATGCACACATCACGAAGAAGTTTCTGAGAATGCTTCTGTCTAGTTTATATGTGAAGATATTCCCATTTCCAGCAAAGGTCTCAGAGCGGTCCAAATATCCACTTGCAGATCCCACAAACAGAGGGTTTCAAAACTGCTTTACGGAAAGGTATGTTCAACTCTGTGAGTTTACTGCAAACATCCTAAAGAAGTCTCTGAGAATGCTGCTGTCTACTTTAATGTGAATATATTTTCTTTTCCGCCATAGCCCTCAAAGAGCTCCAAATATCCACTTTCAGATTCTACAGAGTGTTTCAAAACTGCTCTATCAAAAAAAAGTTTCAACTCGGAGAGTGGAATGCACATATCACAAAGCAGTTTCTGAGAATGCTTTCGTCTATTTTTCCCAGGAAGATATTTCCTTTTTGACCGTAGGCCTCAAATCGCTCCAGATATCCACATGCAGATTCTACAAATGAGTGTTTCCAAACTGCCCTATCAAAAGGAAGGTTCAACTCTGGTAGTTGAATGCAAACATCACAAAGAAGTTTCTCAGAATGCTTCAGTCTAGTATTTAGAGGCAGATATTTCTTTTTCTACCATTGGCCTCAAGGCGCTCCAAATATCCACTTGCAGATTCTCCACAAACAGTGTTTCAAAACTGCTCCATAAAAAGGAAGGTTCAACTCTGTGAGTTGAATGGACAGATCACAAAGAAGTTTCTGAGAATGCTTCTCTCTAGTGTTTATGTGAAGATATTCCCGTTTCCGATGAAGGCCTCAAAGCAGTCCAAATATCCACTTGCCGATTCTACAAAAACAGTGTTTCAAAACCACTCTATGGAAAGGTATGTTCAACACTGTGAGATGAATGCAAACGTCACCAAGAAGTTGCTGAGAAAGCTTCAGTCTAGTTTCTATGGGAAGACATTTCCTTTTGCACCACAGCCCCCAAAGCACTCCAAATGTCTACTTGCAGATTCGATAAAAGAGTTTTACAACACTGCTCTATCAAAAGAAAGGTTCAACGCTGTGAGTTGAATCCACATATCACGAAAAAGTTTCTGAGAATGCCTCTATCTACTTTTCCTGTGAAGATATTCCGGTTTTCATCGAAGGCCTCAAAGCGCTCCAAATATCTACTTGCAGATTCTAGAAAAAGAGTGTTTCGAAACTGCTCTATTAAAGGAAGGTTCAACTCTGTGAGTTGAATTCACACATCACAAAGAACTTTCTGACAATGCTTCTATCTAGTTTTTATGCGAAGATATTACTGTTTCCTATGAAGGCCTCAAAGTGCTCCGAATATCCACTTGCAGATTCTACAAAAAGAGGTTTTCAAAACTGCTCTGTGAAGAGGTATGTTCAACTCTCTGAGTTGAATGCAAACATCATGAAGTAGTTTCTGAGAATGCTTCTGTCTAGTTTTCAGGGGCAGATATTTCCATTGGCACAATAGCCCTCCAAGTGCTCCAAATATCCACTGGCAGATTCTACCAAAAGAGTGTTTCAAAACTGCTCTGTGAAAAGAAATGTTCAACTGTGTTAGTTGAATGCCCACATCACAAAGGAGATTCTGAGAATATTTCTGTCTAGTTTTTATTAGAAGATATTCCCGTTTCCACCAAAGGACACAAAGCGAAGTCGATTATCCGCTTGCAGACCTTACAAAAACACGTTTCAAAACTGCTCTATCAAAGGAAAGGTTCATCTCTCTGGGTTCAACGCACGCATCACAAAGAAGTTTCTGAGAATGCTTCTGGCTAGTTTGTGTGTGAAGATATTCCCATTTCCAACAAAGGCTTCAAAGCGCTCCAAAGATTCACCTGCAATTGTTCAAAAGAGTGTTTCAAAACTGTTCTATCAAAAGGAAGGTTCAACACTGTGAGTTGAATTCACGCTTCACATACATGTTTCTGAGAATGCTTCTTTCTAGTTTTTATGGGAAGATATTTCCTTCTCCACCACAGCCCTCAAAGCGCTCCAAGTGTCCGCTGGCAGATTCCACAGAAACAGTGTTTCAAAACTGCTCTGACAAAAGAAAGATTCAACTCCGTGATTTGAATGCACACAACACAAAGCATTTTCTGTGAATCCTTCTGTCTAGTTTTTATATGAGGATATTTCCTTTTCTACCATGGGCATCAAAGCGTTCCAATTATCCAATTGTGGATTGCACAAACAGATTGTTTCAAAACTGCTTCATGAAAAGGAAGATTCAAATTCGGGAGTAGAATGCACACATCACGAAGAAGTTTCTGAGAATGCTTCTGTCTAGTTTATATGTGAAGATATTCCCATTTCCAGCAAAGGTCTCAAAGCGGTCCAAATATCCCCTTGCGGATCCCACAAACAGAGGGTTTCAAAACTGCTCTACGGAAAGGTATGTTCAACTCTGTGAGTTTACTGCAAACATCCTAAAGAAGTTTCTGAGAATGCTGCTGTCTAGTTTAATGTGAATATATTTTCTTTTCCGCCATAGCCCTCAAAGAGCTCCAAATATCCACTTTCAGATTCTACAGAGTGTTTCAAAACTGCTCTATCCAAAAAAAGTTTCAAATCGGTGAGTCGAATGCACATATCACAAAGCAGTTTCTGAGAATGCTTTCGTCTATTTTTCCCAGGAAGATATTTCCTTTTTGACCGTAGGCCTCAAACCGCTCCAGATATCCACATGGAGATTCTACAAAAAGAGTGTTTCCAAACTGCCCTATCAAAAGGAAGGTTCAACTCTGCTAGTTGAATGCAAACATCACAAAGAAGTTTCTCGGAATGCTTCTGTCTAGTTTTTAGAGGCAGATATTTCTTTTCCTACCATAGGCCTCAAAGCGCTCCAAATATCCACTTGCAGATTCTCCAAAAACAGTGTTTCAAAACTGCTCCATAAAAAGGAAGGTTCAACTCTGTGAGTTGAATGGGCAGATCACAAAGAAGTTTCTGAGAATGCTTCTGTCTAGTGTTTATGTGAAGATATTCCCGTTTCCGATGAAGGCCTCAAAGCAGTCCAAATGTCCACTTGCAGATTCTACAAAAATAGTGTTTTGAAACTACTCTATGCAAAGGTATGTTCAACACTGTGAGATGAATGCAAACGTCACCAAGAAGTTGCTGAGAATGATTCAGTCTAGTTTCTATGGGAAGACATTTCCTTTTGCACCACAGCCCTCAAAGCACCCCGAATGTCTACCTGCAGATTCGATAAAAGAGTTTTTCAAAACTGCTCCATCCAAAGAAAGGTTCAACGCTGTGAGTTGAATCTACATATCACAAAAAAGTTTCTGAGAATGCCTCTATCTACTTTTTATGTGAAGATATTCCGGTTTCCAACGAAGGCCTCAAAGCGCTCCAAATATCTACTGGCAGATTCTAGAAAAAGACTGTTTCAAAACTGCTCTATTAAAGGAAGGTTCAACTCTGTGAGTTGAATTCACACATCACAAAGAACTTTCTGACAATCCTTCTATCTAGTTTTTATGTGATGATATTACTGTTTCCTATGAAGGCCTCAAAGTGGTCCGAATATCCACTTGCAGATTCTACAAAAAGAGGTTTTCAAAACTGCTCTATGAAGAGGTATGTTCAACTCTGTCAGTTGAATGCAAACATCCCAAAGCAGTTTCTGAGAATGCTTCTGTCTAGTTTTTAGGGGAAGATATCTCCATTGGCACAATAGCCCTCAAAGCGCTCCAAGTATCCACTGGCAGATTCTAGCAAAAGAGTGTTTCAAAACTGCTCTGTGAAAAGAAATGTTCAACTGTGTTAGTTGAATGCCCACATTACAAAGATGATTGTGAGAATATTTCTGTCTAGTTTTTATTAGAAGATATTCCCGTTTCCACCAAAGGACACAAAGCGAAGCCAGTTATCCGCTTGCCGATCTTACAAAAACACGTTTCAAAACTGCTCTATCAAAGGAAAGGTTCATCTCTCTGGGTTCAACGCACACATCACAAAGAAGTTTCTGAGAATGCTTCTGGCTAGTTTGTGTGTGAAGATATTCCCATTTCCAACAAAGGCTTCAAAGCGCTCCAAAGATTCACCTGCAATTGTTCAAAAGAGTGTTTCAAAACTCTTCTATCAAAAGGAAGGTTCAACTCTGTGAGTTGAATGCACGCTTCACATAAATGTTTCTGAGAATGCTTCTTTCTAGTTTTTATGGGAAGATATTTCCTTCTCCACCACAGCCCTCAAAGCGCTCCAAGTGTCCGCTGGCAGATTCCACAGAAACAGTGTTTCAAAACTGCTCTGACAAAAGAAAGATTCAACTCTGTGATTTGAATGCACACATCACAAAGCATTTTCTGTGAATCCTTCTGTCTAGTTTTTATATGAGGATATTTCCTTTTCTACCATGGGCATCAAAGCGTTCCAATTATCCAATTGTGGATTGCACAAACAGAGTGTTTCAAAACTGCTTCATGAAAAGGAAGATTCGAAATCGGGAGGAGAATGCACACATCACGAAGAAGTTTCTGAGAATGCTTCTGTCTAGTTTATATGTGAAGATATTCCCATTTCCAGCAAAGGTCTCAAAGCGGTCCAAATATCCACGTGCGGAACCCACAAACAGAGTGTTTCAAAACTGCTCTACGGAAAGGTATGTTCAACTCTGTGAGTTTACTGCAAACATCCTAAAGAAGTTTCTGAGAATGCTGCTGTCTACTTTAATGTGAATATATTTTCTTTTCCGCCATAGCCCTCAAAGAGCTCCAAATATCCACTTTCAGATTCTACAGAGTGTTTCAAAACTGCTCTATCAAAAAAAAGTTTCAACTCGGTGAGTCGAATGCACATATCACACAGCACTTTCTGAGAATGCTTTCGTCTATTTTTCCCAGGAAGATATTTCCTTTTTGACCGTAGGCCTCAAACCGCTCCAGATATCCACATGCAGATTCTACAAAAAGAGTGTTTCCAAACTTCCCTATCAAAAGGAAGGTTCAACTCTGCTAGTTGAATGCAAACATCACAAAGAAGTTTCTCGGAATGCTTCTGTCTGGTTTTTAGAGGCAGATATTTCTTTCTCTACAATAGGCCTCAAAGCGCTCCAAATATCCACTTGCAGATTCTCCAAAAGGAGTGTTTCAAAACTGCTCCATAAAAAGGAAGGTTCAACTCTGTGAGTTGAATGGACAGATGACAAAGAAGTTTCTGAGAATGCTTCTCTCTAGTGTTTATGTGAAGATATTCCCGTTTCCGATGAAGGCCTCAAAGCAGTCCAAATATCCACTTGCAGATTCTACAAAGATAGTGTTTCAAAACTACTCTATGGAAAGGTATGTTCAACACTGTGAGATGAATGCAAACGTCACAAAGAAGTTGCTGAGAATGCTTCAGTCTAGTTTCTATGGGAAGACATTTCCTTTTGCACCACAGCCCTCAAAGCACCCCGAATGTCTACCTGCAGATTCGATAAAAGGGTTTTTCAAAACTGCTCCATCCAAAGAAAGGTTCAATGCTGTGAGTTGAATCTACATATCACAAAAAAGTTTCTGAGAATGCCTCTATCTACGTTTTATGTGAAGATATTCCGGTTTCCAACGAAGGCCTCAAAGCGCTCCAAATATCTACTTGCAGATTCTAGAAAAAGAGTGTTTCAAAACTGCTCTATTAAAGGAAGGTTCAACTCTGTGAGTTGAATTCACACATCACAAAGAACTTTCTGACAATGCTTCTATCTAGTTTTTATGTGAAGATTTTACTGTTTCCCATGAAGGCCTCAGAGTGGTCCGAATATCCACTTGCAGATTCTACAAAAAGAGGTTTTCAAAACTGCTCTATGCAGAGGTATGTTCAAGTCTGTGAGTTGAATGCAAACATCACGAAGCAGTTTCTGAGAATGCTTCTGTCTAGATTTTAGGGGCAGATATTTCCATTGGCACAACAGCCCTCAAAGCGCTCCAAATATCCACTGGCAGATTCGACCAAAAGAGTGTTTCAAAACTGCTCTGTGAAAAGAAATGTTCAACTGTGTTAGTTGAATGCCCACATCACAAAGGAGATTCTGAGAATATTTCTGTCTAGTTTTTATTAGAAGATATTCCCGTTCCCACCAAAGGACACAAAGCGAAGCCAATTATCCGCTTGCAGATCTTACAAAAACACGTTTTAAAACTGCTCTATCCAAGGAAAGGTTCATCTCTCTGGGTTCAACGCACACATCACAAAGAAGTTTCTGAGAATGCTTCTGGCTAGTTTGTGTGTGAAGATATTCCCATTTCCAACAAAGGCTTCAAAGCGCTCCAAAGATTCACCTGCAATTGTTCAAAAGAGTGTTTCAAAACTGTTGTATCACAAGGAAGGTTCAACTCTGTGAGTTGAATGTACGCTTCACATAAATGTTTCTGAGAATGCTTCTTTCTATTTTTTATGTGAAGATATTTCCTTCTCCACCGTAGCCCTCAAAGCGCTCCAAGTGTCCGCTGGCAGATTCCACAGAAACAGTGTTTCAAAACTGCTCTAACAAAAGAAAGATTCAACTCCGTGATTTGAATGCACACATCACAAAGCATTTTCTGTGAATCCTTCTGTCTAGTTTTTATATGAGGATATTTCCTTTTCTACCATGGGCATCAAAGCGTTCCAATTATCCAATTGTGGATTGCACAAACAGAGTGTTTCAAAACTGCTTCATAAAAAGGAAGATTCAAATTCGGGAGTAGAATGCACACATCACGAAGAAGTTTCTGAGAATGCTTCTGTCTAGTTTATATGTGAAGATATTCCCATTTCCAGCAAAGGTCTCAAAGCGGTCCAAATATCCACTTGCGGATCCCACAAACAGAGTGTTTCAAAACTGCTCTACGGAAAGGTATGTTCAACTCTGTGAGTTTACTGTAAACATCCTAAAGAAGTTTCTGAGAATGCTGCTGTCTAGTTTAATGTGAATATATTTTCTTTTCCGCCATAGCCCTCAAAGAGCTCCAAATATCCACTTTCAGATTCTACAGAGTGTTTCAAAACTGCTCTATCAAAAAAAAGTTTCAAATCGGTGAGTCGAATGCACATATCACAAAGCAGTTTCTGAGAATGCTTTCGTCTATTTTTCCCAGGAAGATATTTCCTTTTTGACCGTAGGCCTCAAACCGCTCCAGATATCCACATGCAGATTCTACAAAAAGAGTGTTTCCAAACTGCCCTATCAAAAGGAAGGTTCAACTCTGCTAGTTCAATGCAAACATC
Organism: Homo sapiens; assembly: GCF_000001405.40. Lineage (NCBI taxonomy): Eukaryota > Metazoa > Chordata > Mammalia > Primates > Hominidae > Homo > Homo sapiens. Next base: position 49,967,826 of record NC_000005.10, on the reverse strand, counting down.
ACAGAGGAGTTTCTCGGAATGCTTCTGTCTAGTTTTTAGAGGCAGATATTTCTTTTTCTACCATAGGCCTCAAATTGCTCCAAATATCCACTTGCAGATCCTCCAAAAACAGTGTTTCAAAACTGCTCCATAAAAAGGAAGGTTCAACTCTGTGAGTTGAATGGACAGATCACAAAGAAGTTTCTGAGAATGCTTCTCTCTAGTGTTTATGTGAAGATATTCCCGTTTCCGATGAAGGCCTCAAAGCAGTCCAAATATCCACTTACCGATTCTACACAAACAGTGTTTCAAAACTACTCTATGGAAAGGTATGTTCAACACTGTGAGATGAATGCAAACGTCACCAAGAAGTTGCTGAGAATGCTTCAGTCTAGTTTCTATGGGAAGACATTTCCTTTTGCACCACAGCCCTCAAAGCAGTCCAAATGTCTACTTGCAGATTCGATAAAAGAGTTTTACAAAACTGCTCTATCAAAAGAAAGGTTCAACGCTGTGAGTTGAATCCACATATCACGAAAAAGTTTCTGAGAATGCCTCTATCTACTTTTTATGTGAAGATATTCCGGTTTCCAAAGAAGGCCTGAAAGCGCTCCAAATATCTACTTGCAGATTCTAGAAAAAGAGTGTTTCAAAACTGCTCTATTAAAGGAAGGTTCAACTCTGTGAGTTGAATTCACACATCCCAAAGAACTTTCTGACAATGCTTCTATCTAGTTTTTATGTGAAGATATTAATGTTTCCTATGAAGGCCTCAAAGTGGTCCGAATATCCACTTTCAGATTCTACAAAAAAGGTTTTCAAAACTGCTCTATGAAGAGGTATGTTCAACTCTGTGATTCGAATGCAAACATCACAATGTAGTTTCTGAGAATGCTTCTGTCTAGTTTCCAGGGGCAGATATTTCCATTGGCACAATAGCCCTCCAAGCGCTCCAAATATCCACTGGCAGATTCTCCCAAAAGAGTGTTTCAAAACTGCTCTGTGAAAAGAAATGTTCAACTGTGTTAGTTGAATGCCCACATCACAAAGGAGATTCTGAGAATATTTCCGTCTAGTTTTTATTAGAAGATATTCCCGTTTCCACCAAAGGACACAAAGCGAAGCCAATTATCCGCTTGCAGATCTTACAAAAACACGTTTCAAAACTGCTCTATCCAAGGAAAGGTTCATCTCTCTGGGTTCAACGCACACATCACAAAGAAGTTTCTGAGAATGCTTCTGGCTAGTTTGTGTGTGAAGATATTCCCATTTCCAACAAAGGCTTCAAAGCGCTCCAAAGATTCACCTGCAATTGTTCAAAAGAGTGTTTCAAAACTGTTGTATCAAAACGAAGGTTCAACTCTGTGAGTTGAATGCACGCTTCACATAAATGTTTCTGAGAATGCTTCTTTCTAGTTTTTATGGGAAGATATTTCCTTCTCCACCATAGCCCTCAAAGAGCTCCAAGAGTCCGCTGGCAGATTCCACAGAAACAGTGTTTCAAAACTGCTCTCACAAAAGAAAGATTCAACTCCGTGATTTGAATGCACACATCACAAAGGATTTTCTGTGAATCCTTGTGTCTAGTTTTTATATGAGGATATTTCCTTTTCTACCATGGGCATCAAAGCGTTCCAATTATCCAATTGTGGATTGCACAAACAGAGTGTTTCAAAACTGCTTCATGAAAAGGAAGATTCAAATTCGGGAGTAGAATGCACACATCACGAAGAAGTTTCTGAGAATGCTTCTGTCCAGTTTATATGTGAAGATATTCCCGTTTCCAGCAAAGGTCTCAAAGCAGTCCAAATATCCACTTGCGGATCCCACAAAGAGAGTGTTTCAAAGCTGCTCTACGGAAAGGTATGTTCAACTCTGTGAGTTTACTGCAAACATCCTAAAGAAGTTTCTGGGAATGCTGCTGTCTAGTTTAATGTGAATATCTTTTCTTTTCCGCCATAGCCCTCAAAGAGCTCCAAATATCCACTTTCAGATTCTACAGAGAGTTTCAAATCTGCTCTATCAAAAAAAAGTTTCAACTCGGTGAGTCGAATGCACATATCACAAAGCAGTTTCTGAGAATGCTTTTGTCTATTTTTCCCAGGAAGATATTTCCTTTTTGACCGTAGGCCTCAAACCGCTCCAGATATCCACATGCAGATTCTACAAAAAGAGTGTTTCCAAACTGCCCTATCAAAAGGAAGGTTCAACTCTGGTAGTTGAATGCAAACATCACAAAGAACTTTTCTCGGAATGCTTCTGTCTAGTTGTCATAGGCAGATATTTCTTTTTCTACCATAGGCCTCAAAGCGCTCCAAATATCCACTTGCAGATTCTCCAAAAACAGGGTTTCAAAACTGCTCCATAAAAAGGAAGGTTCAACTCTGTGAGTTGAATGGACAGACCACAAAGAGGTTTCTGAGAATGCTTCTCTCTAGTGTTTATGTGAAGATATTCCCGTTTCCGATGAAGGCCTGAAAGCAGTCCAAATATCCACTTGCCGATTATACAAAAACAGTGTTTCAAAACCACTCTATGGAAAGGTATGTTCAAAACTGTGAGATGAATGCAAACGTCACCAAGAAGTTGCTGAGAATGCTTCAGTCTAGTTTCTATGGGAAGACATTTCCTTTTGCACCACAGCCCTCAAAGCACTCCAAATGTCTACTTGCAGATTCGATAAAAGAGTTTTCCAAAACTGCTCTATCAAAAGAAAGGTTCAACGCTGTGAGGTGAATCCACATATCACGAAAAAGTTTCTGAGAATGCCTCTATCTACATTTCCTGTGAAGATATTCCGGTTTCCAACGAAGGCCTCCAAGCGCTCCAAATATCTACTTGCAGATTCTAGAAAAAGAGTGTTTCAAAACTGCTCTATTAAAGGAAGGTTCAACTCTGTGAGTTGAATTCACACATCACAAAGAACTTCCTGACAATGCTTCTATCTAGTTTTTATGCGAAGATATTACTGTTTCCTATGAAGGCCTCAAAGTGCTCCGAATATCCACTTGCAGATTCTACAAAAAGAGGTTTTCAAAACTGCTCTGTGAAGAGGTATGTTCAACTCTGTGAGTTGATTGCAAACATCACGAAGTAGTTTCTGAGAATGCTTCTGTCTAGTTTTCAGGGGCAGATATTTCCATTGGCACAGTAGTCCCTCCAAGCGCTCCAAATATCCACTGGCAGATTCTACCAAAAGAGTGTTTCAAAACTGCTCTGTGAAAAGAAATGTTCAACTGTGTTAGTTGAATGCCCACATCACAAAGGAGATTCTGAGAATATTTCTGTCTAGTTTTTATTAGAAGATATTCCCGTTTCCACCAAAGGACACAAAGCGAAGCCAATTATCTGCTTGCCGATCTTACAAAAACACGTTTCAAAACTGCTCTATCAAAGGAAAGGTTCATCTCTCTGGGTTCAACGCACACATCACAAAGAAGTTTCTGAGAATGCTTCTGGCTAGTTTGTGTGTGAAGATATTCCCATTTCCAACAAAGGCTTCAAAGCGCTCCAAAGATTCACCTGCAATTGTTCAAAAGAGTGTTTCAAAACTGTTCTATCAAAAGGAAGGTTCAACTCTGTGAGTTGAATGCACGCTTCACATAAATGTTTCTGAGAATGCTTCTTTCTAGTTTTTATGTGAAGATATTTCCTTCTCCACCGTAGCCCTCAAAGCGCTCCAAGTGTCCGCTGGCAGATTCCACAGAAACAGTGTTTCAAAACTGCTCTAACAAAAGAAAGATTCAACTCTGTGATTTGAATGCACACATCACAAAGCATTTTCTGTGAATCCTTCTGTCTAGTTTTTATATGAGTATATTTCCTTTTCTACCATGGGCATCAAAGCGTTCCAATTATCCAATTGTGGATTGCACAAACAGAGTGTTTCAAAACTGCTTCATGAAAAGGAAGATTCAAATTCCGGAGTAGACTGCACACTTCACGAAGAAGTTTCTGAGAATGCTTCTGTCTAGTTTATACGTGAAGATATTGCCATTTCCAGCAAAGGTCTCAAAGCGGTCCAAATATCCACTTGCGGATCCCACAAACAGAGTGTTTCAAAACTGCTCTACGGAAAGGTATGTTCAACTCTGTGAGTTTACTGCAAACATCCTAAAGAAGTTTCTGAGAATGCTGCTGTCTAGTTTAAAGTGAATATATTTTCTTTTCCGCCATAGCCCTCAAAGAGCTCCAAATATCCACTTTCAGATTCTACAGAGTGTTTCAAAACTGCTCTATCCAAAAAAAGTTGCAATTCGGTGAGTCGAATGCACATATCACAAAGCAGTTTCTGAGAATGCTTTCGTCTATTTTTCCCAGGAAGATATTTCCTTTTTGACCGTAGGCCTCAAACCGCTCCAGATATCCACATGCAGATTCTACAAAAAGAGTGTTTCCAAACTGCCCTATCAAAAGGAAGGTTCAACTGTGCTAGTTGAATGCAAACATCACAAAGAACTTTTCTCGGAATGCTTCTGTCTGGTTTTTAGAGGCAGATATTTCTTTTTCTACCATAGGCCTCAAAGCGCTCCAAATATCCACTTGCAGATTCTCCAAAAGGAGTGTTTCAAAACTGCTCCATAAAAAGGAAGGTGCAACTCTGTGAGTTGAATGGACAGATGACAAAGAAGTTTCTGAGAATGCTTCTGTCTAGTGTTTATGTGAAGATATTCCCGTTTCCGATGAAGGCCTCAAAGCACTCCAAATATCCACTTGCAGATTCTACAAAATTAGTGTTTCAAAACTTCTCTATGGAAAGGTATGTTCAACACTGTGAGATGAATGCAAACGTCACAAAGAAGTTGCTGAGAATGCTTCAGTCTACTTTCTATGGGAAGACATTTCCTTTTGCACCACAGCCCTCAAAGCACTCCAAATGTCTACTTGCAGATTCGATAAAAGAGTTTTACAAAACTGCTCTATCAAAAGAAAGGTTCAACGCTGTGAGTTGAATCCACATATCACGAAAAAGTTTCTGAGAATGCCTCTATCTACTTTTCCTGTGAAGATATTCCGGTTTCCAACGAAGGCCTCAAAGCGCTCCAAAGATCTACTTGCCGATTCTAGAAAAAGTGTGTTTCAAAACTGCTCTATTAAAGGAAGGTTCAAATCTGTGAGTTTAATGCCCACATCACAAAGAAGATTCTGAGAATATTTCTATCTAGTTTTTATGTGAAGATATTACTGTTTCCTATGAAGGCCTCAAAGTGGTCCGAATATCCACTTGCAGATTCTACAAAAAGAGGTTTTCAAAACAGCTCTATGCAGAGGTATGTTCAACCCTGTGAGTTGAATGCAAACATCACGAAGCAGTTTCTGAGAATGCTTCTGTCTAGATTTTAGGGGCAGATATTTCCATTGGCACAACAGCCCTCAAAGCGCTCCAAATATCCACTGGCAGATTCTACCAAAAGAGTGTTTCAAAACTGCTCTGTGAAAAGAAATGTTCAACTGTGTTAGTTGAATGCCCACATCACAAAGGAGATTCTGAGAATATTTCTGTCTAGTTTTTATTAGAAGATATTCCCGTTTCCACCAAAGGACACAAAGCGAAGCCAATTATCCGCTTGCCGATCTTACAAAAACACGTTTCAAAACTGCTCTATCAAAGGAAAGGTTCTTCTCTCTGGGTTCAACGCACACCTCACAAAGAAGTTTCTGAGAATGCTTCTGGCTACTTTGTGTGTGAAGATATTCCCATTTCCAACAAAGGCTTCAAAGCCCTCGAAATATTCACCTACAATTGTTCAAAAGAGTGTTTCAAAACTGTTCTATCAAAAGGAAGGTTCAACGCTGTGAGTTGAATCTACATATCACACAAAAGTTTCTGAGAATGCCTCTTTCTAGTTTTTATGGGAAGATATTTCCTTCTCCACCACAGCCCTCAAAGCACTCCAAGTGTCCGCTGGCAGATTCCACAGAAACAGTGTTTCAAAACTGCTCTAACAAAAGAAAGATTCAACTCCGTGATTTGAATGCACACATCACAAAGCATTTTCTGTGAATCCTTCTGTCTAGTTTTTATATGAGGATATTTCCTTCTCTACCATGGGCATCAAAGCGTTCCAATTATCCAATTGTAGATTGCACAAATAGAGTCTTTCAAAACTGCTTCATGAGAAGGAAGATTCAAAGCTGGGAGTAGAATGCACACGTGACGAAGAAGTTTCTGAGAATGCTTCTGTCTAGTTTATATGTGAAGATATTCCCATTTCCAGCAAAGGTCTCAAAGCGGTCCAAATATCCACTTGCGGATCCCACAAACAGAGTGTTTCAAAACTGCTCTACGGAAAGGTATGTTCAACTCTGTGAGTTTAGTGCAAACATCATAAATAAGTTTCTGAGAATGCTGATGTCAAGTTTAATGTGAATATATTTTCTTTTCCGCCATAGCCCTCAAAGAGCTCCAAATATCCACTTTGAGATTCTACAAAGTGTTTCAAAACTGCTCTATCAAAAAAAGTTTCAACTCGGTGAGTGGAATGCACATATCACAAAGCAGTTTCTGAGAATGCTTTCGTCTATTTATCCCAGGAAGATATTTCCTTTTTGACCGTAGGCCTCAAACCGCTCCAGATATCCACATGCAGATTCTACAAAAAGAGTGTTTCCAAACTGCCCTATCAAAAGGAAGGTTCAACTCTGCTAGTTGAATGCAAACATCACAGAGAAGTTTCTCGGAATGCTTCAGTCTAGTATTTAGAGGCAGATATTTCTTTTTCTACCATTGGCCTCAAGGCGCTCCAAATATCCACTTGCAGATTCTCCACAAACAGTGTTTCAAAACTGCTCCATGAAAAGGAAGGTTCAACTCTGTGAGTTGAATGGACAGATCACAAAGAAGTTTCTGAGAATGCTTCTCTCTAGTGTTTATGTGAAGATATTCCCGTTTCCGATGAAGGCCTCAAAGCAGTCCAAATATCCACTTGCCGATTCTACAGAAACAGTGTTTCAAAACCACTCTATGGAAAGGTATGTTCAACACTGTGAGATGAATGCAAACGTCACCAAGAAGTTGCTGAGAATGCTTCAGTCTAGTTTCTATGGGAAGACATTTCCTTTTGCACCACAGCCCTCAAAGCACCCCAAATGTCTACCTGCAGATTCGATAAAAGAGTTTTTCAAAACTGCTCCATCCAAAGAAAGGTTCAACGCTGTGAGTGGAATCTACATATCACAAAAAAGTTTCTGAGAATGCCTCTATCTACTTTTCCTGTGAAGATATTCCGGTTTCCAACGAAGGCCTCAAAGCGCTCCAAATATCTACTTGCAGATTCTAGAAAAAGAGTGTTTCAAAACTGCTCTATTAAAGGAAGGTTCAACTCTGTGAGTTGAATTCACACATCACCAAGAACTTTCTGACAATGCTTCTATCTAGTTTTTATGTGAAGATATTACTGTTTCCTATGAAGGCCTCAAAGTGGTCCGAATATCCACTTGCAGATTCTACAGAAAGAGGTTTTCAAATCTGCTCTATGAAGAGGTATGTTCAACTCTGTGAGTTGAATGCGAACATCACGAAGTAGTTTCTGAGAATGCTTCTGTCTAGTTTTTAGGGGCAGATATTTCCGTTGGCACAATAGCCCTCAAAGCGCTCCAAATATCCACTGACAGATTCTACCAAAAGAGTGTTTCAAAACTGCTCTGTGAAAAGAAACGTTCAACTCTGTTAGTTGAATGCCCACATCACAAAGAAGATTCTGAGAATATTTCTGTCTAGTTTTTATTAGAAGATATTCCCGTTTCCAGCAAAGGACACAAAGCGAAGCCAACTATCCGCTTGCAGATCTTACAAAAACACGTTTCAAAACTGCTCTTTCAAAGGAAAGGTTCATCTCTCTGGGTTCAACGCACACATCACAAAGAAGTTTCTGAGAATGCTTCTGGCTAGTTTGTGTGTGAAGATATTCCCATTTCCAACAAAGGCTTCAAAGCGCTCCAAAGATTCACCTGCAATTGTTCAAAAGAGTGTTTCAAAACTGTTGTATCAAAAGGAAGGTTCAACTCTGTGAGTGGAATGCACGCTTCACATAAATGTTTCTGAGAATGCTTCTTTCTAGTTTTTATGGGAAGATATTTCCTTCTCCACCGTAGCCCTCAAAGCGCTCCAAGTGTCCGCTGGCAGATTCCACAGAAACAGTGTTTCAAAACTGCTCTGACAAAAGAAAGATTCAACTCCGTGATTTGAATGCACACATCACAAAGCATTTTCTGTGAATCCTTGTGTCTAGTTTTTATATGAAGATATTTCCTTTTCTACCATGGGCATCAAAGCGTTCCAATTATCCAATTGTGGATTGCACAAACAGAGTGTTTCAAAACTGCTTCATGAAAAGGAAGATTCAAATTTGGGAGTAGAATGCACACATCACGAAGAAGTTTCTGAGAATGCTTCTGTCCAGTTTATATGTGAAGATATTCCCGTTTCCAGCAAAGGTCTCAAAGCGGTCCAAATATCCACTTGCGGATCCCACAAACAGAGTGTTTCAAAACTGCTCTACGGAAAGGTATGTTCAACTCTGTGAGTTTACTGCAAACATCCTAAAGAAGTTTCTGGGAATGCTTCTGTCTAGTTTAATGTGAATATATTTTCTTTTCCGCCATAGCCCTCAAAGAGCTCCAAATATCCACTTTCAGATTCTACAGAGTGTTTCAAAACTGCTCTATCAAAAAAAAGTTTCAACTCGGAGAGTCGAATGCACATATCACAAAGCAGTTTCTGAGAATGCTTTCGTCTATTTTTCCCAGGAAGAGATTTCCTTTTGGACCGTAGGCCTCAAATCGCTCCAGATATCCACATGCAGATTCTACAAAAAGAGTGTTTCCAAACTGCCCTATCAAAAGGAAGGTTCACCTCTGGTAGTTGAATGCAAACATCACAAAGAAGTTTCTCAGAATGCTTCTGTCTAGTTGTTATAGGCAGATATTTCTTTTTCTACCATAGGCCACAAAGCGCTCCAAATAGCTACTTGAAGATTCTCCAAAAACAGTGTTTCAAAACTGCTCCATTAAAAGGAAGGTTCAACTCTGTGAGTTGAATGGACAGATCACAAAGAAGTTTCTGAGAATGCTTCTCTCTAGTGTTTATGTGAAGATATTCCCGTTTCCGATGAAGGCCTCAAAGCAGTCCAAATATCCACTTGCAGATTCTACAAAAATAGTGTTTCAAAACTACTCTTTGGAAAGGTATGTTCAATGCTGTGAGATGAATGCAAACGTCACAAAGAAGTTGCTGAGAATGTTTCAGTCTAGTTTCTATGGGAAGACATTTCCTTTTGCACCACAGCCCTCAAAGCACCCCAAATGTTTACCTGCAGATTCGATAAAAGAGGTTTTCAAAACTGCTCCATCCAAAGAAAGGTTCAACGCTGTGAGTTGAATCTACATATCACAAAAAAAGTTTCTGAGAATGCCTCTATCTACATTTCCTGTGAAGATATTCCGGTTTCCAAAGAAGGCCTCCAAGCGCTCCAAATATCTACTTGCAGATTCTAGAAAAAGAGTGTTTCAAAACTGCTCTATTAAAGGAAGGTTCAACTCTGTGAGTTGAATTCACACATCACAAAGAACTTCCTGACAATGCTTCTGTCTAGTTTTTAGGTGAAGATATTTCCATTTCCAGGAAAGGTCACAAAGTGGTCCAAATATCCACTTGCAGATTCTACAAAAAGAGGTTTTAAAAACAGCTCTATGAAGGGGTATGTTCAACTCTGTGAGTTGAATGCAAACATCAAAAAGTAGTTTCTGAGGATGCTTCTGTCTAGTTTTTAGGGGCAGATATTTCCGTTGGCACAATAGCCCTCATAGCGCTCCAAATATCCACTGGCAGATTCTACCAAAAGAGTGTTTCAAAACTGCTCTGTGAAAAGAAACGTTCAACTGTGTTAGTTGAATGCCCACATCACAAAGAAGATTCTGAGAATATTTCTGTCTAGTTTTTGTTAGAAGATATTCCCGTTTCCACCAAAGGACACAAAGCGAAGCCAATTATCCGCTTGCCGATCTTACAAAAACACGTTTCAAAACTGCTCTATCAAAGGAAAGGTTCATCTCTCTGGGTTCAACGCACACATCACAAAGAAGTTTCTGAGAATGCTTCTGGCTACTTTGTGCGTGAAGATATTCCCATTTCCAGCAAAGGCTTCAAAGCGCTCCAAATATTGACCTGCAATTGTTCAAAAGAGTGTTTCAAAACTGTTCTATCAAAAGGAAGGTTCAACTCTGTGAGTTGAATGCACGCTTCACATAAATGTTTCTGAGAATGCATCTTTCTAGTTTTTATGTGAAGATATTTCCTTCTCCACCATAGCCCTCAAAGCGCTCCAAGTGTCCGCTGGCAGATTCCACAGAAACAGTGTTTCAAAACTGCTCTAACAAAAGAAAGATTCAACTCCGTGATTTGAATGCACACATCAAAAAGCATTTTCTGTGAATGCTTCTGTCTAGTTTTTATATGAGGATATTTCCTTTTCTACCATGGGCATCAAAGCGTTCCATTTATCCAATTGTGGATTGCACAAACAGAGTGTTTCAAAACTGCTTCATGAAAAGGAAGATTCAAATTCGGGAGTAGAATGCACACATCACGAAGAAGATTCTGAGAATGCTTCTGTCTAGTTTATATGTGAAGATATTCCCATTTCCAGCAAAGGTCTCAAAGCGGTCCAAATATCCACTTGCGGATCCCACAAACAGAGTGTTTGAAAACTGCTCTACGGAAAGGTAGGTTCAACTCTGTGAGTTTACTGCAAACATCCTAAAGAAGTTTCTGAGAATGCTGCTGTCTAGTTTAATGTGAATATATTTTCTTTTCCGCCATAGCCCTCGAAGAGCTCCAAATATCCACTTTCAGATTCTACAGAGTGTTTCAAAACTGCTCTATCAAAAAAAAGTTTCAACTCGGAGAGTCGAATGCACATATCACAAAGCAGTTTCTGAGAATGCTTTCGTCTATTTTTCCCAGGAAGATATTTCCTTTTTGACTGTAGGCCTCAAATCGCTCCAGATATCCACATGCAGATTCTACAAAAAGAGTGTTTCCAAACTGCCCTATCAAAAGGAAGGTTCAACTCTGGTAGTTGAAAGCAAACATCACAAAGAAGTTTCTCAGAATGCTTCAGTCTAGTTTTTAGAGGCAGATGTTTCTTTTTCTACCATAGGCCTCAAAGCGCTCCGAATATCCACTTGCAGATTCTCCAAAAAGAGTGTTTCAAAGCTGCTCCATAAAAAGGAAGGTTCAACTCTGTGAGTTGAATGGACAGATCACAAAGAAGTTTCTGAGAATGCTTCTCTCTAGTGTTTATGTGAAGATATTCCCGTTTCCGATGAAGGCCTCAAAGCAGTCCAAATATCCACTTGCCGATTCTACAAAAACAGTGTTTCAAAACTACTCTATGGAAAGGTATGTTCAACACTGTGAGATGAATGCAAACGTCACAAAGAAGTTGCTGAGAATGCTTCAGTCTAGTTTCTATGGGAAGACATTTCCTTTTGCACCACAGCCCTCAAAGCACCCCAAATGTCTACCTGCAGATTCGATAAAAGGGTTTTTCAAAACTGCTCCATCCAAAGAAAGGTTCAACGCTGTGAGTTGAATCTACATATCACAAAAAAGTTTACTGAGAATGCCTCTATCTACTTTTTATGTGAAGATATTCCGGTTTCCAACGAAGGCCTCAAAGCGCTCCAAATATCTACTTGCAGATTCTAGAAAAAGAGTGTTTCAAAACTGCTCTATTAATGGAAGGTTCAACTCTGTGAGTTGAATTCACACATCACAAAGAACTTTCTGACAATGCTTCTATCTAGTTTTTATGTGAAGGTATTACTGTTTCCTATGAAGGCCTCAAAGTGGTCCGAATATCCACTTGCAGATTCTACAAAAAGAGGTTTTCAAAACTGCTCTATGAAGAGGTATGTTCAACTCTGTGAGTTGAATGCAAACATCACAAAGTAGTTTCTGAGAATGCTTCTGTCTAGTTTTTAGGGGCAGATATTTCCGTTGGCACAATAGCCCTCAAAGCGCTCTAAATATCCACTGGCAGATTCTAGCAAAAGAGTGTTTCAAAACTGCTCTGTGAAAAGAAAGGTTCAACTGTGTTAGTTGAATGCCCACATCACAAAGAAGATTCTGAGAATATTTCTGTCTAGTTTTTATTAGAAAATATTCCCGTTTCCACCAAAGGACACAAAGCTAAGCCAACTATCCGCTTGCAGATCTTACAAAAACACGTTTCAAAACTGCTCTATCAAAGGAAAGGTTCATCTCTCTGGGTTCAACGCACACATCACAAAGAAGTTTCTGAGAATGCTTCTGGCTAGTTTGTGTGTGAAGATATTCCCATTTCCAACAAAGGCTTCAAAGCCCTCCAAATATTCACCTGCAATTGTTCAAAAGAGTGTTTCAAAACTGTTCTATCAAAAGGAAGGTTCAACTCTGTGAGTTGAATGCACGCTTCACATAAACGGTTCTGAGAATGCTTCTTTCTAGTTTTTATGTGAAGATATTTCCTTCTCCACCATAGCCCTCAAAGCGCTCCAAGTGTCCGCTGGCAGATTCCACAGAAACAGTGTTTCAAAACTGATCTAACAAAAGAAAGATTCAACTCCGTGATTTGAATGCACACATCACAAAGCATTTTCTGTGAATCCTTCTGTCTAGTTTTTATATGAGGATATTTCCTTTTCTACCATGGGCATCAAAGCGTTCCAATTATCCCATTGTAGATTGCACAAATAGAGTGTTTCAAAACTGCTTCATGAAAAGGAAGATTCAAATTTGGGAGTAGAATGCACACATCACGAAGAAGTTTCTGAGAATGCTTCTGTCTAGTTTATATGTGAAGATATTCCCATTTCCAGCAAAGGTCTCAAAGCGGTCCAAATATCCACTTGTGGATCCCACAAACAGAGTGTTTCAAAACTGCTCTACGGAAAGGTAGGTTCAACTCTGTGAGTTTACTGCAAACATCCTAAAGAAGTTTCTGAGAATGCTGCTGTCTACTTTAATGTGAATATAGTTTCTTTGCCGCCATAGCCCTCAAAGAGCTCCAAATATCCACTTTCAGATTCTACAGAGTGTTTCAAAACTGCTCTATCAAAAAAAAGTTTCAACTCGGTGAGTCGAATGCACATATCACAAAGCAGTTTCTGAGAATGCTTTCGTCTATTTTTCCCAGGAAGATATTTCCTTTTTGACCGTAGGCCTCAAACCGCTCCAGATATCCACATGCAGATTCTACAAAAAGAGTGTCTCCAAACTGCCCTATCAAAAGGAAGGTTCAACTCTGCTAGTTGAATGCAAACATCACAGAGAAGTTTCTCGGAATGCTTCTGTCTAGTTGTCATAGGCAGATATTTCTTTTACTACCATAGGCCTCAAAGCGCTCCAAATATCCACTTGCAGATCCTCCGAAAACAGTGTTTCAAAACTGCTCCATAAAAAGGAAGGTTCAACTCTGTGAGTTGAATGGACAGACCACAAGGAAGTTTCTGAGAATGCTTCTCTCTAGTGTTTATGTGAAGATATTCCCGTTTCCGATGAAGGCCTCAAAGCAGTCCAAATATCCACTTGCCGATTCTACAAAAACTGTGTTTCAAAACCACTCTATGGAAAGGTATGTTCAACACTGTGAGGTGAATGCAAACGTCACCAAGAAGTTGCTGAGAATGCTTCAGTCTAGTTTCTATGGGAAGACATTTCCTTTTGCACCAGAGCCCTCAAAGCACTCCAAATGTCTACTTGCAGATTCGATAAAAGAGTTTTTCAAAACTGCTCTATCAAAAGAAAGGTTCAACGCTGTGAGTTGAATCTACATATGACATAAAAGTTTCTGAGCATGCCTCTATCTACATTTCCTGTGAAGATATTCCGGTTTACAACGAAGGCCTCCAAGCGCTCCAAATATCTACTTGCAGATTCTAGAAAAAGAGTGTTTCAACACTGCTCTATTAAAGGAAGTTTCAACTCTGTGAGTTGAATTCACACATCACAAAGAACTTCCGGACAATGCTTCTATGTAGTTTTTATGTGAAGATATTACTGTTTCCCATGAAGGCCTCAAAGTGGTCCGAATATCCACTTGCAGATTCTACAAAAAGAGGTTTTCAAAACTGCTCTATGCAGAGGTATGTTCAACTCTGTGAGTTGAATGCAAACATCCCGAAGCAGTTTCTGAGAATGCTTCTGTCTAGTTTTCAGGGGCAGATATTTCCATTGGCACAATAGCCCTCCAAGCGCTCCAAATATCCACTGGCAGATTCTACCAAAAGAGTGTTTCAAAACTGCTCTGTGATAAGAAATGTTCAACTGTGTTAGTTGAATGCCCACATCACAAAGGAGATTCTGAGAATATTTCTGTCTAGTTTTTATTAGAAGATATTCCCGTTCCCACCAAAGGACACAAAGCGAAGCCAATTATCCGCTTGCAGATCTTACAAAAACACGTTTCAAAACTGCTCTATCAAAGGAAAGGTTCATCTCTCTGGGTTCAACGCACGCATCACAAAGAATTTTCTGAGAATGCTTCTGGCTAGTTTGTGTGTGAAGATATTCCCATTTCCAACAAAGGCTTCAAAGCCCTCCAAATATTCACCTGCAATTGTTCAAAAGAGTGTTTCAAAACTGTTCTATCAAAAGGAAGGTTCAACTCTGTGAGTAGAACGCACGCTTCACATAAATGGTTCTGAGAATGCTTCTTTCTAGTTTTTATGGGAAGATATTTCCTTCTCTACCATAGCCCTCAAAGCGCTCAAAGTGTCCGCTGGCAGATTCCACAGAAACAGTGTTTCAAAACTGCTCTGACAAAAGAAAGATTCAACTCCGTGATTTGAATGCACACATCACAAAGCATTTTCTGTGAATCCTTCTGTCTAGTTTTTATATGACGATATTTCCTTTTCTACCATGGGCATCCAAGCGTTCCAATTATCCAAGTGTAGATTGCACAAACAGAGTGTTTCAAAACTGCTCCATGAGAAGGAAGATTCAAATTTGGGAGTACAATGCACACATCACGAAGAAGTTTCTGAGAATGCTTCTGTCTAGTTTATATGTGAAGATATTCCCATTTCCAGCAAAGATCTCAAAGCTGTCCAAATATCCACTTGTGGATCCCACAGAGTGTTTCAAAACTGCTCTACGGAAAGGTATGTTCAACTCTGTGAGTTTACTGCAGACATCCTAAAGAAGTTTCTGAGAATGCTGCTGTCTAATTTAATGTGAATATATTTTCTTTTCCGCCATAGCCCTCAAAGAGTTCCAAATAGCCACTTTCAGATTCTACAGAGTGTTTCAAAACTGCTCTATGAAAAAAAAGTTTGAACTCGGTGATTCGAATGCACATATCACAAAGCAGTTTCTGAGAATGCTTTCGTCTATTTTTCCCAGGAAGATATTTCCTTTTTGACCGTAGGCCTCAAATCGCTCCAGATATCCACATGCAGATGCTACAAAATGAGTGTTTCCAAACTGCCCTATCAAAAGGAAGGTTCAACTCTGGTAGTTGAATGCAAACATCACAAAGAAGTTTCTCAGAATGCTTCAGTCTAGTATTTAGAGGCAGATATTTCTTTTTCTACCATTGGCCTCAAGGCGCTCCAAATATCCACTTGCAGATTCTTCACAAACAGTGTTTCAAAACTGCTCCATAAAAAGGAAGGTTCAACTCTGTGAGTTGAATGGACAGATCACAAAGAAGTTTCTGAGAATGCTTCTCTCTAGTGTTTATGTGAACATATTCCCGTTTCCGATGAAGGCCTCAAAGCAGTCCAAATATCCACTTGTCGATTCTACAAAAACAGTGTTTCAAAACCACTCTATGGAAAGGTATGTTCAACACTGTGAGATGAATGCAAACGTCACCAAGAAGTTGCTGAGAATGCTTCAGTCTAGTTTCTATGGGAAGACATTTCCTTTTGCACCACAGCCCTCAAAGCACCCCAAATGTCTACCTGCAGATTCGATAAAAGAGTTTTTCAAAACTGCTCCATCCAAAGAAAGGTTCAATGCTGTGAGTTGAATCTACATATCACAAAAAAGTTTCTGAGAATGCCTCTATCTACTTTTTATGTGAAGATATTCCAGTTTCCAACGAAGGCCTCAAAGCGCTCCAAATATCTACTTGCAGATTCTAGAAAAAGAGTGTTTCAAAACTGCTCTATTAAAGGAAGGTTCAACTCTGTGAGTTGAATTCACACATCACAAAGAACTTTCTGACAATACTTCTCTCTAGTTTTTATGTGAAGATATTACTGTTTCCTATGAAGACCTCAAAGTGGTCCGAATATCCACTTATAGATTCTACAAAAAGAGGTTTTCAAAACTGCTCTATGAAGAGGTATGTTCACCTCTGTGAGTTGAATGCAAACATCACAAAGCAGTTTCTGAGAATGCTTCTGTCTAGTTTTTAGGGGCAGATATTTCCATTGGCACAATAGCCCTCAAAGCGCTCCAAATATCCACTGGCAGATTCGACCAAAAGAGTGTTTCAAAACTGCTCTGTGAAAAGAAATGTTCAACTGTGTCAGTTGAATGCCCACATCACAAAGAAGTTTCTGAGAATATCTCTGTCTAGATTTTATTAGAAGATATTCCCGTTTCCACCAAAGGACACAAAGCGAAGCCAATTATCCGCTTGCCGATCTTACAAAAACACGTTTCAAAACTGCTCTATCAAAGGAAAGGTTCATCTCTCTGGGTTCAACGCACACATCACAAAGAAGTTTCTGAGAATGCATCTGGCTAGTTTGTGTGAAGATATTCCCATTTCCAACAAAGGCTTCAAAGCGCTCCAAAGATTCACCTGCAATTGTTCAAAAGAGTGTTTCAAAACTGTTGTATCAAAAGGAAGGTTCAACTCTGTGAGTTGAATGCACGCTTCACATAAATGTTTCTGAGAATGCTTCTTTTTAGTTTTTGTGTGAAGATATTTCCTTCTCCACCGTAGCCCTCAAAGCGCTCCTAGTGTCCGCTGGCAGATTCCACAGAAACAGTGTTTCAAAACTGCTCTAACAAAAGAAAGATTCAACTCCGTGATTTGAATGCACACATCACAAAGCATTTTCTGTGAATCCTTCTGTCTAGTTTTTATATGAGGATATTTCCTTTTCTACCATGGGCATCCAAGCGTTCCAATTATCCAATTGTAGATTGCACAAACAGAGTGTTTCAAAACTGCTCCATGAGAAGGAAGATTCAAAATTGGGAGTGCAATGCACACATCACCAAGAAGTTTCTGAGAATGCTTCTGTCTAGTTTATATGTGAAGATATTCCCATTTCCAGCAAAGGTCTCATAGCGGTCCAAATATCCACTTGCGGATCCCACAAACAGAGTGTTTCAAAACTGCTCTACGGAAAGGTAGGTTCAACTCTGTGAGATTACTGCAAACATCCTAAAGAAGTTTCTGAGAATGCTGCTGTCTACTTTAATGTGAATATAGTTTCTTTGCCGCCATAGCCCTCAAAGAGCTCCAAATATCCACTTTCAGATTCTACAGAGTGTTTCAAAACTGCTCTATCAAAAAAAAGTTTCAACTCGGTGAGTCGAATGCACATATCACAAAGCAGTTTACTGAGAATGCTTTCGTCTATTTTTCCCAGGAAGATATTTCCTTTTGGACCGTAGGCCTCAAATCGCTCCAGATATCCACATGCAGATTCTACAAAAAGACTGTTTCCAAACTGCCCTATCAAAAGGAAGGTTCAACTCTGGTAGTTGAATGCAAACATCACAAAGAAGTTTCTCAGAATGCTTCTGTCTGGTTTTTAGAGGCAGATATTTCTTTTTCTACCATAGGCCTCAAAGCGCTCGAAATATCCACTTGCAGATTCTACAAAAACAGTGATTCAAAACTGCTCCATAAAAAGGAAGGTTCAACTCTGTGAGTTGAATGGACAGATCACAAAGAAGTTTCTGAGAATGCTTCTGTCTAGTGTTTATGTGAAGATATTCCCGTTTCCGATGAAGGCCTCAAAGCATTCCAAATATCCACTTGCAGATTCTACAAAAATAGTGCTTCAAAACTACTCTATGGAAAGGTATGTTTAACACTGTGAGATGAATGCAAACGTCACAAAGAAGTTGCTGAGAATGCTTCAGTCTAGTTTCTATGGGAAGACATTTCCTTTTGCACCACAGCCCTCAAAGCACCCCAAATGTCTACCTGCAGATTCGATAAAAGTGTTTTTCAAAACTGCTCCATCCAAAGAAAGGTTCAACGCTGTGAGTTGAATCTACATATCACAAAAAAGTTTCTGAGAATGCCTCTATCTACGTTTTATGTGAAGATATTCCGGTTTCCAACGAAGGCCTCAAAGCGCTCCAAATATCTACTGGCAGATTCTAGAAAAAGAGTGTTTCAAACTGCTCTATTAAAGGAAGGTTCAACTCTGTGTGTTGAATTCCCACATCACAAAGAACTTTCTGACAATGCTTCTATCTAGTTTTTATGTGAAGATATTACTGTTTCCTATGAAGGCCTCAAAGTGGTCCGAATATCCACTTGCAGATTCTACAGAAAGAGGTTTTCAAAACTGCTCTGTGAAGAGGTATGTTCAACTCTGTGTGTTGAATGCAGACATCACGAAGCAGTTTCTGAGAATGCTTCTGTCTAGTTTTCAGGGGCAGATATTTCCATTGGCACAATAGCCCTCCAAGCGCTCCAAATATCCACTGGCAGATTCTACCAAAAGAGTGTTTCAAAACTGCTCTGTGAAAAGTAATGTTCAACTGTGTTAGTTGAATGCCCACATCACAAAGGAGATTCTGAGAATATTTCTGTCTAGTTTTTATTAGAAGACATGCCAGTTTCCACCAAAGGACACAAAGCGAAGCCAATTATCCGCTTGCCGATCTTACAAAAACACGTTTCAAAACTGCTCTATCAAAGGAAAGGTTCATCTCTCTGGGTTCAACGCACACATCACAAAGAAGTTTCTGAGAATGCTTCTGGCTAGTTTGTGTGTGAAGATATTCCCATTTCCAACAAAGGCTTCAAAGCGCTCCAAAGATACACCTGCAATTGTTCAAAAGAGTGTTTCAAAACTGTTGTATCAAAAGGAAGGTTCAACTCTGTGAGTTGAATGCACGCTTCACATAAATGTTTCTGAGAATGCTTCTTTCTAGTTTTTATGTGAAGATATTTCCTTCTCCACCATAGCCCTCAAAGCGCTCCAAGTGTCCGCTGGCAGATTCCACAGAAACAGTGTTTCAAAACAGCTCTAACAAAAGAAAGATTCAACTCCGTGATCTGAATGCACACATCACAAAGCATTTTCTGTGAATCCTTCCGTCTAGTTTTTATATGAGGATATTTCATTTTCTACCATGGGCATCAAAGGGTTCCAATTATCCAATTGTAGATTGCACAAATAGAGTGTTTCAAAACTGCTCTAATAAAAGAAAGATTCAACTCCGTGATTTGAATGCACACATCACAAAGCATTTTCTGTGAATCCTTCTGTCTAGTTTATATGTGAAGATATTCCCATTTCCAGCAAAGATCTCAAAGCTGTCCAAATATCCACTTGTGGATCCCACAAACAGAGTGTTTCAAAACTGCTCTACGGAAAGGTATGTTCAACTCTGTGAGTTTACTGCAGACATCCTAAAGAAGTTTCTGAGAATGCTGCTGTCTACTTTTTTAATGTGAATATATTTTCTTTTCCGCCATAGCCCTCAAAGAGCTCCAAATATCCACTTTCAGATTCTACAGAGTGTTTCAAAACTTCTCTATCAAAAAAAAGTTTCAACTCGGTGAGTCGAATGCACATATCACAAAGCACTTTCTGAGAATGCTTTCGTCTATTTTTCCCAGGAAAATATTTCCTTTTTGACCATAGGCCTCAAATCGCTCCAGATATCCACATGCAGATTCTACAAAAAGAGTGTTTCCAAACTGCCCTATCAAAAGGAAGGTTCAACTCTTGTAGTTGCATGCAACCATCACAAAGAAGTTTCTCAGAATGCTTCAGTCTAGTATTTAGAGGCAGATATTTCTTTTTCTACCATTGGCCTCAAGGCGCTCCAAATATCCACTTGCAGATTCTCCACAAACAGTGTTTCAAAACTGCTCCATAAAAAGGAAGGTTCAACTCTGTGAGTTGAACGGACAGATCACAAAGAAGTTTCCGACAATGCTTCTCTCTAGTGTTTATGTGAAGATATTCCCGTTTCCGATGAAGGCCTCAAAGCAGTCCAAATATTCACTTACCGATTCTACAAAAACAGTGTTTCAAAACTACTCTATGGAAAGGTATGTTCAACACTGTGAGATGAATGCAAACGTCACCAAGAAGTTGCTGAGAATGCTTCAGTCTAGTTTCTATGGGAAGACATTTCCTTTTGCACCACAGCCCTCAAAGCACTCCAAAGGTCTACTGGCAGATTCGATAAAAGAGTTTTTCAAAACTGCTCTATCAAAAGAAAGGTTCAACGCTGTGAGTTGAAACTACATATCACAAAAAAGTTTCTGAGAATGCCTCTATCTACATTTCCTGTGAAGATATTCCGGTTTCCAAAGAAGGCCTCCAAGCACTCCAAATATCTACTAGCAGATTCTAGAAAAAGAGTGTTTCAAAACTGCTCTATTAAAGGAAGGTTCAACTCTGTGAGTTGAATTCACACATCACAAAGAACTTTCTGACAATGCTTCTATCTAGTTTTTATGTGAAGATATTACTGTTTCCTATGAAGGCCTCAGAGTGGTCCGAATATCCACTTGCAGATTCTACAAAAAGAGGTTTTCAAAACTGCTCTATGCAGAGGTATGTTCAAGTCTGTGAGTTGAATGCAAACATCACGAAGCAGTTTCTGAGAATGCTTCTGTCTAGTTTTCAGGGGCAGATATTTCCATTGGCACAATAGTCCTCCAAGCGCTCCAAATATCCACATGCAGATTCTACCAAAAGAGTGTTTCAAAACTGCTCTGTGAAAAGAAATGTTCAACTGTGTTAGTTGAATGCCCACATCACAAAGGAGATTCTGAGAATATTTCTGTCTAGTTTTTATTAGAAGATATTCCCGTTTCCACCAAAGGACACAAAGCGAAGCCAATTATCCGCTTGCCGATCTTACAAAAACACGTTTCAAAACTGCTCTATCAAAGGAAAGGTTCATCTCTCTGGGTTCAACGCACACATCACAAAGAAGTTTCTGAGAATTCTTCTGGCTAGTTTGTGTGTGAAGATATTCCCATTTCCAACAAAGGCTTCAAAGCGCTCCAAAGATTCACCTGCAATTGTTCAAAAGAGTGTTTCAAAACTGTTCTATCAAAAGGAAGGTTCAACTCTGTGAGTTGAAGGCACGCTTCACATAAATGTTTCCGAGAATGCTTCTTTCTAGTTTTTATGTGAAGATATTTCCTTCTCCACCATAGCCCTCAAAGCGCTCCAAGTGTCCGCTGGTAGATTCCACAGAAACAGTGTTTCAAAACTGCTCTGACAAAAGAAAGATTCAACTCCGTGATTTGAATGCACACATCACAAAGCATTTTCTGTGAATCCTTCTGTCTAGTTTTTATATGAGGATATTTCCTTTTCTACCATGGACATCAAAGCGTTCCAATCATCCAATTGTAGAATGCACAAACAGAGTGTTTCAAAACTGCTTCATGAAAAGGAAGATTCAAATTTGGGAGTAGAATGCACACATCACGAAGAAGTTTCTGAGAATGCTTCTGTCTAGTTTATATGTGAAGATATTCCCATTTCCAGCAAAGGTGTCAAAGCGGTCCAAATATCCACTTGCGGATCCCACAAACAGAGTGTTTCAAAACTGCTCTACGGAAAGGTATGTTCAACTCTGTGAGTTTACTGCAAACATCCTAAAGAAGTTTCTGAGAATGCTGCTGTCTACTTTAATGTGAATATAGTTTCTTTGCCGCCGTAGCCCTCA
This sequence comes from Homo sapiens, assembly GCF_000001405.40. NCBI lineage: Eukaryota > Metazoa > Chordata > Mammalia > Primates > Hominidae > Homo > Homo sapiens. The sequence goes on along the minus strand of NC_000005.10, from coordinate 49,945,952 downwards.
AAGAGCTCCAAATATCCACTTTCAGATTCTACAGAGTGTTTCAAAACTGCTCTATCAAAAAAAATTTTCAACTCGGTGAGTCGAATGCACATATCACAAAGCAGTTTCTGAGAATGCTTTCGTCTATTTATCCCAGGAAGATATTTCCTTTTTGACCGTAGGCCTCAAACCGCTCCATATATCCACATGCAGATTCTACAAAAAGAGTGTTTCCAAACTGCCCTATCAAAAGGAAGGTTCAACTCTGCTAGTTGAAGGCAAACATCACAGAGAAGTTTCTCGGAATGCTTCTGTCTGGTGTTTAGGGGCAGATATTTCTTTTTCTACCATAGGCCTCAAAGCGCTCCAAATATCCACTTGCAGATTCTCCAAAAAGAGTGTTTCAAAACTGCTCCAGAAAAAGGAAGGTTCAACTCTGTGAGTTGAATGGACAGATGACAAAGAAGTTTCTGAGAATGCTTCTCTCTAGTGTTTATGTGAAGATATTCCCGTTTCCGATGAAGGCCTCAAAGCAGTCCAAATATCCACTTGCCGATTCTACAAAAACAGTGATTCAAAACCACTCTATGGAAAGGTATGTTCAACACTGTGAGATGAATGCAAACGTCACCAAGAAGTTGCTGAGAATGCTTCAGTCTAGTTTCTATGGGAAGACATTTCCTTTTGCACCACAGCCCTCAAAGCACCCCAAATGTCTAACTGCAGATTCGATAAAAGAGTTTTTCAAAACTGCTCCATCCAAAGAAAGGTTCAACGCTGTGAGTTGAATCTACATATCACAAAAAAGTTTCTGAGAATGCCTCTATCTACTTTTTATGTGAAGATATTCCTGTTTCCAACGAAGGCCTCAAAGCGCTCCAAATATCTACTGGCAGATTCTAGAAAAAGAGTGTTTCAAAACTGCTCTATTAAAGGAAGGTTCAACTCTGTGAGTTGAATTCACACATCACAAAGAACTTTCTGACAATGCTTCTATCTAGTTTTTATGTGAAGATATTACTGTTTCCTATGAAGGCCTCAAAGTGGTCCGAATATCCACTTGCAGATTCTACAAAAAGAGGTTTTCAAAACTGCTCTATGCAGAGGTATGTTCAACTCTGTGAGTTGAATGCAAACATCCCGAAGCAGTTTCTGAGAATGCTTCTGTCTAGTTTTCAGGGGCAGATATTTCCATTGGCACAATAGCCCTCCAAGCGCTCCAAATATCCACTGGCAGATTCTACCAAAAGAGTGTTTCAAAACTGCTCTGTGAAAAGAAATGTTCAACTGTGTTAGTTGAATGCCCACATCACAAAGGGAGATTCTGAGAATATTTCTGTCTAGTTTTTATCAGAAGATATTCCCGTTTCCACCAAAGGACACAAAGCGAAGCCAATTATCCGCTTGCAGATCTTACAAAAACACGTTTCAAAACTGCTCTATCCAAGGAAAGGTTCATCTCTCTGGGTTCAACGCACACATCACAAAGAAGTTTCTGAGAATGCTTCTGGCTAGTTTGTGTGTGAAGATATTCCCATTTCCAACAAAGGCTTCAAAGCGCTCCAAAGATTCACCTGCAATTGTTCAAAAGAGTGTTTCAAAACTGTTGTATCGAAAGGAAGGTTCAACTCTGTGAGTTGAATGCACGCTTCACATAAATGTTTCTGAGAATGCTTCTTTCTAGTTTTTATGTGAACATATTTCCTTCTCCACCATAGCCCTCAAAGCGCTCCAAGTGTCCGCTGGCAGATTCCACAGAAACAGTGTTTCAAAACTGCTCTAACAAAAGAAAGATTCAACTCCGCGATTTGAATGCACACATCACAAAGCATTTTCTGTGAATCCTTCTGTCTAGTTTTTATATGAGGATATTTCCTTTTCTACCACGGGCATCCAAGCCTTCCAATTCTCCAATTGTAGATTGCACAAACAGAGTGTTTCAAAACTGCTCCATGAGAAGGAAGATTCAAATTTGGGAGTACAATGCACACATCACGAAGAAGTTTCTGAGAATGCTTCTGTCTAGTTTATATGTGAAGATATTCCCGTTTCCAGCAAAGGTCTCAAAGGGGTCCAAATATCCACTTGCGGATCCCACAAACAGAGTGTTTCAAAACTGCTCTACGGAAAGGTATGTTCAACTCTGTGAGTTTACTGCAAACATCCTAAAGAAGTTTCTGAGAATGCTGCTGTCTACTTTTTTAATGTGAATATATTTTCTTTTCCGCCATAGCCCTCAAAGAGCTCCAAATATCCACTTTCAGATTCTACAGAGTGTTTCAAAACTGCTCTATCAAAAAAAAGTTTCAACTCGGTGAGTCGAATGCACATATCACAAAGCACTTTCTGAGAATGCTTTCGTCTATTTTTCCCAGGAAGATATTTCCTTTTTGACCGTAGGCCTCAAACCGCTCCAGATATCCACATGCAGATTCTACAAAAAGAGTGTTTCCAAACTGCCCTACCAAAAGGAAGGTTCAACTCTGCTAGTTGAATGCAAACATCACAAAGAAGTTTCTCGGAATGCTTCTGTCTAGTTGTCATAGGCAGATATTTCTTTTTCTACCATAGGCCTCAAAGCGCTCCAAATATCCACTTGCAGATTCTCCAAAAACAGTGTTTCAAAACTGCTCCATAAAAAGGAAGGTTCAACTCTGTGAGTTGAATGGACAGACCACAAAGAAGTTTCTGAGAATGCTTCTGTCCAGTGTTTATGTGAAGATATTCCCGTTTCCGATGAAGGCCTCAAAGCAGTCCAAATATCCACTTGCAGATTCTACAAAAATAGTGTTTCAAAACTACTCTATGCAAAGGTATGTTCAACACTGTGATTTGAATGCAAACGTCACAAAGAAGTTGCTGAGAATGCTTCAGTCTAGTTTCTATGGGAAGACATTTCCTTTTGCACCACAGCCCTCAAAGCACTCCAAATGTCTACTTGCAGATTCGATAAAAGAGTTTTACAAAACTGCTCTATCAAAAGAAAGTTTCAACGCTGTGAGTTGAATCCACATATCACGAAAAAGTTTCTGAGAATGCCTCTATCTACTTTTTATGTGAAGATATTCCGGTTTCCAACGAAGGCCTCAAAGCGCTCCAATTATCTACTGGCAGATTCTAGAAAAAGAGTGTTTCAAAACTGCTCTATTAAAGGAAGGTTCAACTCTGTGAGTTGAATTCACACATCACAAAGAACTTTCTGACAATGCTTCTATCTAGGTTTTATGTGAAGATATTACTGTTTCCTATGAAGGCTTCAAAGTGGTCCGAATATCAACTTTCAGGTTCTACAAAAAAGGTTTTAAAAACTGCTCTATGAAGAGGTATGTTCAACTCTGTGAGTCGAATGCAAACATCACAATGTAGTTTCTGAGAATGCTTCTGTCTAGTTTTTAGGGGCAGATATTTCCATTGGCACATTAGCCCTCAAAGCGCTCCAAATATCCACTGGCAGATTCTACCAAAAGAGTGTTTCAAAACTGCTCTGTGAAAAGAAACGTTCAACTGTGTTAGCTGAATGCCCACATCACAAAGAAGATTCTGAGAATATTTCTGTCTAGTTTTTATTAGAAGATATTCCCGTTTCCACCAAAGGACACAAAGCGAAGCCAATTATCCGCTTGCAGATCTTACAAAAACACGTTTCAAAACTGCTCTATCAAAGGAAAGGTTCATCTCTCTGGGTTCAACACACACATCACAAAGAAGTTTCTGAGAATGCTTCTGGCTAGTTTGTGTGTGAAGATATTCCCATTTCCAACAAAGGCTTCAAAGCGCTCCAAAGATTCACCTGCAATTGTTCAAAAGAGTGTTTCAAAACTGTTCTATCAAAAGGAAGGTTCAACTCTGTGAGTTGAATGCACGCTTCACATAAATGTTTCTGAGAATGCTTCTTTCTAGTTTTTATGGGAAGATATTTCCTTCTCCACCACAGCCCTCAAAGCGCTCCAAGTGTCTGCTGGCAGATTCCACAGAAACAGTGTTTCAAAACTGCTCTAACAAAAGAAAGATTCAACTCCGTGATTTGAATGCCCACATCACAAAACATTTTCTGTGAATCCTTCTGTCTAGTTTTTATATGAGGATATTTCCTTTTCTACCATGGACATCAAAGCGTTCCAATCATCCAATTGTAGAATGCACAAATAGAGTGTTTCAAAACTGCTTCATGAAAAGGAAGATTCATATTTGGGAGTAGAATGCACACATCACGAAGAAGTTTCTGAGAATGCTTCAGTCCAGTTTATATGTGAAGATATTCCCATTTCCAGCGAAGGTCTCAAAGCGGTCCAAATATCCACTTGCGGATTCCACAAAAAGAGTGTTTCAAAACTGCTCTATGGAAAGGTATGTTCAACTCTGTGAGTTTGATGCAAACATCATAAAGAAGTTTCTGAGAATGCTGCTGTCTACTTTAATGTGAATATATTTTCTTTTCCGCCATAGCCCTCAAAGAGCTCCAAATATCCACTTTCAGATTCTACAGAGTGTTACAAAACTGCTGTATCAAAAAAAAGTTTCAACTCGGTGAGTCGAATGCGCATATCACAAAGCCCTTTCTGAGAATGCTTTCGTCTATTTTTCCCAGGAAGATATTTCCTTTTTGACCGTAGGCCTCAAACCGCTCCAGATATCCACATGAAGATTCTACAAAAAGAGTGTTTCCAAACTGCCCTATCAAAAGGAAGGTTCAACTCTGCCTAGTTGAATGCAAACATCACAAAGAACTTTTCTCAGAATGCTTCTGTCTGGTTTTTAGAGGCAGATATTTCTTTTTCTACCATAGGCCTCAAAGCGCTCCAAATATCCACTTGCAGATTCTCCAAAAGGAGTGTTTCAAAACTGCTCCATAAAAAGGTAGGTTCAACTCTGTGAGTTGAATGGACAGATGACAAAGAAGTTTCTGAGAATGCTTCTCTCTAGTGTTTATGTGAAGATATTCCCGTTTCCGATGAAGGCCTCAAAGCAGTCCAAATATCCAGTTGCAGATTCTACAAAAATAGTGTTTCAAAACTACTCTATGGAAAGGTCTGTTCAACACTGTGAGATGAGTGCAAACCTCACGAAGAAGTTGCTGAGAATGCTTCAGTCTAGTTTCCATGGGAAGACATTTCCTTTTGCACCACAGCCCTCAAAGCACCCCAAATGTCTACTTGCAGATTCGATAAAAGAATTTTTCAAAACTGCTCTATCAAAAGAAAGGTTCAACGCTGTGAGTGGAATCTACATATCACAAAAAAGTTTTCTGAGAATGCCTCTATCTACTTTTTACGTGAAGATAGTCCGGTTTCCAACGAAGGCCTCAAAGCGCTCTAAATATCTACTTGCAGATTCTAGAAAAAGAGTGTTTCAAAACTGCTCTATGAAAGGAAGGTTCAACTCTGTGAGTTGAATTCACACATCACAAAGAACTTTCTGACAATGCTTTTATCTATTTTTTATGTGAAGATATTACTGTTTCCTATGAAGGCCTCAGAGTGTTCCGAATATCCACTTGCAGATTCTACAAAAAGAGGTTTCCAAAAGTGCTCTATGCAGAGGTATGTTCAAGTCTGTGAGTTGAATGCAAACATCACAAAGCAGTTTCTGAGAATGCTTCTGTCTAGTTTTTAGGGGCAGATATTTCCGTTGGCACAATAGCCCTCAAAGCGCTCCAAATATCCACTGGCAGATTCTACCAAAAGAGTGTTTCAAAACTGCTCTGTGCAAAGAAACGTTCAACTGTGTTAGTTGAATGCCCACATCACAAAGAAGATTCTGAGAATATTTCTGTCTAGATTTTATTAGAAGATATTCCCGTTTCCACCAAAGGACACAAAGCGAAGCCAACTATCCGCTTGCAGATCTTACAAAAACACGTTTCAAAACTGCTCTTTCAAAGGAAAGGTTCATCTCTCTGGGTTCAACGCACACATCACAAAGAAGTTTCTGAGAATGCTTCTGGCTAGTTTGTGTGTGAAGATATTCCCATTTCCAACAAAGGCTTCAAAGCCCTCCAAATATTCACGTGCAATTGTTCAAAAGAGTGTTTAAAAACTGTTCTATCAAAAGGAAGGTTCAACTCTGTGAGTTGAATGCACGCTTCACATAAATGGCTCTGAGAATGCTTCTTTCTAGTTTTTATGGGAAGATATTTCCTTCTCCACCACAGCCCTCAAAGCGCTCCAAGTGTCCGCTGGCAGATTCCACAGAAACAGTGTTTCAAAACTGCTCTGACAAAAGAAAGATTCAACTCCGTGATTTGAATGCACACATCACAAAGGATTTTCTGTGAATCCTTCTGTCTAGTTTTTATATGAGGATATTTCTTTTTCTACCACGGGCATCCAAGCGTTCCAATTCTCCAATTGTAGATTGCACAAACAGAGTGTTTCAAAACTGCTCCATGAGAAGGAAGATTCAAATTTGGGAGTACAATGCACACATCACCAAGAAGTTTCTGAGAATGCTTCTGTCTAGTTTATATGTGAAGATATTCCCATTTCCAGCAAAGGTCTCAAAGCGGTCCAAATATCCACTTGCGGATCCCACAAACAGAGTGTTTCAAAACTGCTCTACGGAAAGGTAAGTTCAACTCTGTGAGTTTACTGCAAACATCCTAAAGAAGTTTCTGAGAATGCTGCTGTCTACTTTAATGTGAATATATTTTCTTTTCCGCCATAGCCCTCAAAGAGCTCCAAATATCCACTTTCAGATTCTACAGAGTGTTTCAAAACTGCTCTATCAAAAAAAAGTTTCAACTCGGTGAGTCGAATGCACATATCACAAAGCACTTTCTGAGAATGTTTTCGTCTATTTTTCCCAGGAAGATATTTCCTTTTTGACCGTAGGCCTCAAACCGCTCCAGATATCCACATGCAGATTCTACAAAAAGAGTGTATCCAAACTGCCCTATCAAAAGGAAGGTTCAACTCTGCTAGTTGAATGCAAACATCACAAAGAAGTTTCTCGGAATGCTTCTGTCTGGTTTTTAGAGGCAGATATTTCTTTTTCTACCATAGGCCTCAAAGCGCTCCAAATATCCACCTGCAGATTCTCCAAAAGGAGTGTTTCAAAACTGCTCCATAAAAAGGAAGTTTCAACTCTGTGAGTTGAATGGACAGATGACAAAGAAGTTTCTGAGAATGCTTCTGTCTAGTGTTTATGTGAAGATATTCCCGTTTCCGATGAAGGCCTCAAAGCAGTCCAAATATCCACTTGCAGATTCTACAAAAATAGTGCTTCAAAACTACTCTATGGAAAGGTATGTTCAACACTGTGAGATGAATGCAAACGTCACAAAGAAGTTGCTGAGAAGGCTGCAGTCTAGTTTCTATGGGAAGACATTTCCTTTTGCACCACAGCCCTCAAAGCACCCCAAATGTCTACCTGCAGATTCGATAAAAGGGATTTTCAAAACTGCTCCATCCAAAGAAAGGTTCAACGCTGTGAGTTGAATCTACATATCACAAAAAAGTTTCTGAGAATGCCTCTATCTACTTTTCCTGTGAAGATATTCCGGTTTCCAACGAAGGCCTCAAAGCGCTCCACATATCTACCTGCAGATTCTAGAAAAAGAGTGTTTCACAACTGCTCTATTAAAGGAAGGTTCAACTCTGTGAGTTGAATTCACACATCACAAAGAACTTTCTGACAATGCTTCCATCTAGTTTTTATGTGAAGATATTACTGTTTCCTATGAAGACCTCAAAGTGGTCCAAATATCCACTTGCAGATTCTACCAAAAGAGGTTTTCAAAACTGCTCTATGAAGAGGTATGTTCAACACTGTGAGTTGAATGCAAACATCACAACGTAGTTTCTGAGAATGCTTCTGTCCAGATTTCAGGGGCAGATATTTCCATTGGCACAATAGCCCTCCAAGCGCTCCAAATATCCACTGGCAGATTCTACCAAAAGAGTGTTTCAAAACTGCTCTGTGAAAAGAAATGTTCAACTGTGTTAGTTGAATGCCCACATCACAAAGGAGATTCTGAGAATATTTCTGTCTAGTTTTTATTAGAAGATATTCCCGTTTCCACCAAAGGACACAAAGCGAAGCCAATTATCCGCTTGCAGATCTTACAAAAACACGTTTCAAAACTGCTCTATCAAAGGAAAGGTTCATCTCTCTGGGTTCAACGCACACATCACAAAGAAGTTTGTGAGAATGCTTCTGGCTAGTTCGTGTGTGAAGATATTCCCGTTTCCAACAAAGGCTTCAAAGCCCTCCAAATATTCACCTGCAATTGTTCAAAAGAGTGTTTCAAAACTGTTCTATCAAAAGGAAGGTTCAACTCTGTGAGTTGAATGCACGCTTCACATAAATGGTTCTGAGAATTCTTCTTTCTAGTTTTTATCTGAAGATATTTCCTTCTCTACCATAGCCCTCAAAGCGCTCCAAGTGTCCGCAGGCAGATTCCACAGAGACAGTGTTTCAAAACTGCTCTAGCAAGAGAAAGGTTCAACTCCGTGATATGAATGCACACATCACAAAGCATTTTCTGTGAATCCTTCTGTCTAGTTTTTATATGAGGATATTTCCTTTTCTACCATGGGCATCAAAGAGTTCCAAATATCCAATTGTAGATTCTACAAATAGAGTGTTTCAAAACTGCTTCATGAAAAGGAAGATTCAAATTTGGGAGTAGAATGCACACATCACGAAGAAGTTTCTGAGAATGCTTCTGTCTAGTTTATATGTGAAGATATTCCCATTTCCAGCAAAGGTCTCAAAGCGGTCCAAATATCCCCTTGCGGATCCCACAAACAGAGTGTTTCAAAACTGCTCTACGGAAATTTATGTTCAACTCTGTGAGTTTACTGCAAACATCCTAAAGAAGTTTCTGAGAATGCTCCTCTCTAGTCTAATGTGAATATATTTTCTTTTCCGCCATAGCCCTCAAAGAGCTCCAAATATCCACTTTCAGATTCTACAGAGTGTTTCAAAACTGCTCTATCAAAAAAAAGTTTCAACTCGGTGAGTGGAATGCACATATCACAAAGCAGTTTCTGAGAATGCTTTCGTCTATTTTTCCCAGGAAGATATTTCCTTTTTGACCGTAGGCCTCAAACCGCTCCAGATATCCACATGCAGATTCTACAAAAAGAGTGTTTCCAAACTGCCCTATCAAAAGGAAGGTTCACCTCTGCTAGTTGAATGCAAACATCACAAAGAAGTTTCTCGGAATGCTTCTGTCTAGTTGTCATAGGCAGATATTTCTTTTTCTACCATAGGCCTCAAAGCGCTCCAAATATCCACTTGCAGATTCTCCGAAAACAGTGTTTCAAAACTGCTCCATAAAAAAGAAGGTTCAACTCTGTGAGATGAATGGACAGACCACAAAGAAGTTTCTGAGAATGCTTCTGTCTAGTGTTTATGTGAAGATATTCCCGTTTCCGATGAAGGCCTCAAAGCAGTCCAAATATCCACTTGCAGATTCTACAAAAATAGTGTTTCAAAACCGCTCTATGCAAAGGTATGTTCAACACTGTGAGATGCATGCAAACGTCACCAAGAAGTTGCTGAGAATGCTTCAGTCTAGTTTCTATGGGAAGACATTTCCTTTTGCACCACAGCCCTCAAAGCACTCCAAATGTCTACTTGCAGATTCGATAAAAGAGTTTTTCAAAACTGCTCTATCAAAAGAAAGGTTCAACGTTGTGAGTTGAATCTACATATGACAAAAAAGTTTCTGAGCATGCCACTATCTGCTTTTTATGTGAAGATATTCCGGTTTCCAACGAAGGCCTCAAAGCGCTCCAAATATCTACTTGCAGATTCTAGAAAAAGAGTGTTTCAAAACTGCTCTATTAAAGGAAGGTTCAACTCTGTGATTTGAATTCACACATCACAAAGAACTTTCTGACTATGCTTCTATCTAGTTTTTATGTGAAGATATTACTGTTTCCTATGAAGGGCTCAAAGTGGTCCGAATATCCACTTGCAGATTCTACAGAAAGAGGTTTTCAAAACTGCTCTGTGAAGAGGTATGTTCAACTCTGTGTGTTGAATGCAGACATCACGAAGTAGTTTCTGAGAATGCTTCTGTCTAGATTTTAAGGGCAGATATTTCCATTGGCACAACAGCCCTCAAAGCGCTCCAAATATCCACTGGCAGATACTACCAAAAGAGTGTTTCAAAACTGCTCTGTGAAAAGACATGTTCAACTGTGTTAGTTGAATGCCCACATCACAAAGGAGATTGTGAGAATATTTCTGTCTAGTTTTTATTAGAAGATATTCCCGTTTCCACCAAAGGACACAAAGCGAAGCCAACTATCCGCTTACAGATCTTACAAAAACACGTTTCAAAACTGCTCTATCAAAGGAAAGGTTCATCTCTCTGGGTTCAACGCACACATCACAAAGAAGTTTCTGAGAATGCTTCTGGCTAGTTTGTGTGTGAAGATATTCCCATTTCCAACAAAGGCTTCAAAGCGCTCCAAAGATTCCCCTGCAATTGTTCAAAAGAGTGTTTCAAAACTGTTCTATCAAAAGGAAGGTTCAACTCTGTGAGTTGAATGCACGCTTCACATAAATGTTTCCGAGAATGCTTCTTTCTAGTTTTTAGGGGAAGATATTTCCTTCTCCACCATAGCCCTCAAAGCGCTCCAAGTGTCCGCTGGCAGATTCCACAGAAACAGTGTTTCAAAACTGGTCTGACAAAAGAAAGATTCAACTCCGTGATTTGAATGCACACATCACAAAGCATTTTCTGTGAATCCTTCTGTCTAGTTTTTATATGAGGATATTTCCTTTTCTACCATGGGCATCAAAGCGTTCCAATTATCCAATTGTGGATTGCACAAACAGAGTGTTTCAAAACTGCTTCATGAAAAGGAAGATTCAAATTCGGGAGTAGACTGCACACATCACGAAGAAGTTTCTGAGAATGCTTCTGTCTAGTTTATACGTGAAGATATCCCCATTTGCAGCAAAGGTCTCAAAGCGGTCCAAATATCCACTTGCGGATCCCACAAACAGAGTGTTTCAAAACTGCTCTACGGAAAGGTATGTTCAACTCTGTGAGTTTACTGCAAACATCCTAAAGAAGTTTCTGAGAATGCTGCTGTCTAGTTTAATGTGAATATCTTTTCTTTTCCGCCATAGCCCTCAACGAGCTCCAAATATCCACTTTCAGATTCTACAGAGTGTTTCAAAACTGCTCTATCAAAAAAAAGTTTCAACTCGGTGAGTCGAATGCACATATCACAAAGCAGTTTCTGAGAATGCTTTCGTCTATTTTTCTCAGGAAGATATTTCCTTTTTGACCGTAGGCCTCAAACCGCTCCAGATATCCACATGCAGATTTTACAAAAAGAGTGTTCCCAAACTGCCCTATCAAAAGGAAGGTTCAACTCTGCTAGTTGAATGCAAACATCACAAAGAAGTTTCTCGGAATGCTTCAGTCTAGTATTTAGAGGCAGATATTTCTTTTTCTACCATTGGCCTCAAGGCGCTCCAAATATCCACTTGCAGATTCTCCACAAACAGTGTTTCAAAACTGCTCCATAAAAAGGAAGGTTCAACTCTGTGAGTTGAATGGACAGATCACAAAGAAGTTTCCTGAGAATGCTTCTCTCTATGTTTATGTGAAGATATTCCCGTTTCCGATGAAGGCCTCAAAGCAGTCCAAATATCCACTTGCCGATTCTACAAAAACAGTGTTTCAAAACCACTCTATGGAAAGGTATGTTCAACACTGTGAGATGAATGCAAACGTCACCAAGAAGTTGCTGAGAATGCTTCAGTCTAGTTTCTATGGGAAGACATTTCCTTTTGCACCACAGCCCTGAAAGCACTCCAAATGTCTACTTGCAGATTCGATAAAAGAGTTTTACAAAACTGCTCTATCAAAAGAAAGGTTCAACGCTGTGAGTTGAATCCACATAACACGAAAAAGATTCTGAGAATGCCTCTATCTACTTTTCCTGTGAAGATATTCCGGTTTCCAACGAAGGCCTCCAAGCGCTCCAAATATCTACTTGCAGATTCTAGAAAAAGAGTGTTTCAAAACTGCTCTATTAAAGGAAGGTTCAACTCTGTGAGTTGAATTCACACATCACAAAGAACTTTCTGACAATGCTTCTATCTAGTTTTTATGTGAAGATATTACTGTTTCCTATGAAGGCCTCAAAGTGGTCTGAATATCCACTTGCAGATTCTACAGAAAGAGGTTTTCAAAACTGCTCTGTGAAGAGGTATGTTCAACTCTGTGTGTTGAATGCAAACATCACGAAGTAGTTTCTGAGAATGCTTCTGTCTAGTTTTCAGGGGCAGATATTTCCATTGGCACAATAGCCCTCCAAGCGCTCCAAATATCCACTGGCAGATTCTACCAAAAGAGTGTTTCAAAACTGCTCTGTGAAAAGAAATGTTCAACTGTGTAAGTTGAATGCCCACATCACAAAGGAGATTCTGAGAATATTTTCTGTCTAGTTTTTATTAGAAGATATTCCCGTTTCCACCAAAGGACACAAAGCCGAAGCCAACTATCCGCTTGCAGATCTTACAAAAACACGTTTCAAAACTGCTCTATCAAAGGAATGGTTCATCTCTCTGGGTTCAACGCACACATCACAAAGAAGTTTCTGAGAATGCTTCTGGCTAGTTTGTGTGTGAAGATATTCCCATTTCCAACAAAGGCTTCAAAGCCCTCCAAAGATTCACCTGCAATTGTTCAAAAGAGTGTTTCAAAACTGTTCTATCAAAAGGAAGGTTCAACTCTGTGAGTTGAATGCACGCTTCACATAAATGGTTCTGAGAATGCTTCTTTCTAGTTTTTATGGGAAGATATTTCCTTCTCCACCATAGCCCTAAAAGCGCTCCAAGTGTCCGCTGGCAGATTCCACAGAAACAGTGTTTCAAAACTGCTCTCACAAAAGAAAGATTCAACTCCGTGATTTGAATGCACACATCACAAAGCATTTTCTGTGAATCCTTCTGTCTAGTTTTTATATGAAGATATTTCCTTTTCTACCATGGGCATCAAAGCGTTCCAATTATCCAATTGTGGATTGCAGAAACAGAGTGTTTCAAAACTGCTTCATGAAAAGGAAGATTCACATTCGGGAGTAGAATGCACACATCACGAAGAAGTTTCTGAGAATGCTTCTGTCTAGTTTAAATGTGCAGATATTCCCATTTCCAGCAAAGGTCTCAAAGCGGTCCAAATATCCACTTGCGGATCCCACAAACAGAGTGTTTCAAAACTGCTCTACGGAAAGGTATGTTCAACTCTGTGAGTTTACTGCAAACATCTTAAAGAAGTTTCTGAGAACGCTGCTGTCTACTTTAATGTGAATATATTTTCTTTTCCGCCATAGCCCTCAAAGAGCTCCAAATATCCACTTTCAGATTCTACAGAGTGTTTCAAAACTGCTCTATCAAAAAAAAGTTTCAACTCGGTGAGTGGAATGCACATATCACAAAGCAGTTTCTGAGAATGCTTTCATCTATTTTTCCCAGGAAGATATTTCCTTTTTGACCGTAGGCCTCAAATCGCTCCAGATATCCACATGCAGATTCTACAAAAAGAGTGTTTCCAAACTGCCCTATCAAAAGGAAGGTTCAACTCTGGTAGTTGAATGCAAACATCACAAAGAAGTTTCTCAGAATGCTTCTGTCTGGTTTTTAGAGGCAGATATTTCTTTTTCTACCATAGGCCTCAAAGCGCTCCAAATATCCATTTGCAGATTCTCCAAAAGGAGTGTTTCAAAACTGCTCCATAAAAAGGAAGGTTCAACTCTGTGAGTTGAATGGACAGATGACAAAGAAGTTTCTGAGAATGCTTCTGTCTAGTGTTTATGTGAAGATATTCCCGTTTCCGATGAAGGCCTCAGAGCAGTCCAAATATCCACTTGCAGATTCTACAAAAATAGTGTTTCAAAACTACTCTATGAAAAGGTATGTTCAACACTGTGAGATGAATGCAAACGTCACAAAGAAGTTGCTGAGAATGCTTCAGTCTAGTTTCTATGAGAAGACATTTCCTTTTGCACCACAGCCCTCAAAGCACCCCAAATGTCTACCTGCAGATTCGATAAAAGAGTTTTTCAAAACTGCTCCATCCAAAGAAAGGTTCAACACTGTGAGTTGAATCTACATATCACAAAAAAAGTTTCTGAGAATGCCTCTATCTAATTTTCCTGTGAAGATATTCCGGTTTCCAACGAAGGCCTCAAAGCGCTCCAAATATCTACTTGCAGATTCTAGAAAAAGAGTGTTTCACAACTGCTCTATTAAAGGAAGGTTCAACTCTGTGAGTTGAATTCACACATCACAAAGAACTTTCTGACAATGCTTCTATCTAGTTTTTATGTGAAGATATTACTGTTTCCTATGAAGGCCTCAAAGTGGTCCGAATATCCTCTTGCAGATTCTACAAAAAGAGGTTTTCAAAACTGCTCTATGAAAAGGTAGGTTCAACTCTGTGAGTTGAATGCAAACATCACAAAGCAGTTTCTGAGAATGCTTCTGTCTAGTTTTTAGGGGCAGATATTTTCGTTGGCACAATAGCCCTCAAAGCGCTCCAAATATCCACTGGCAGATTCTACCAAAAGAGTGTTTCAAAACTGCTCTGTGAAAAGAAACGTTCAACTGTGTTAGTTGAATGCCCACATCACAAAGAAGATTCTGAGAATATTTCTGTCTAGTTTTTATTAGAAGATATTCCCGTTTCCACCAAAGGACACAAAGCGAAGCCAATTATCTGCTTGCAGATCTTACAAAAACACGTTTCAAAACTGCTCTATCAAAGGAAAGGTTCATCTCTCTGGGTTCAACGCACACATCACAAAGAAGTTTCCGAGAATGCTTCTGGCTAGTTTGTGTGTGACGATATTCCCATTTCCAACAAAGGCTTCAAAGCCCTCCAAATATTCACCTGCAATTGTTCAAAAGAGTGTTTCAAAACTGTTCTATCAAAAGGAAGGTTCAACTCTGTGAGTTGAACGCACGCTTCACATAAATGGTTCTGAGAATGCTTCTTTCTAGTTTTTATGTGAAGATATTTCCTTCTCCACCATAGCCCTCAAAGCGCTCCAAGTGTCCGCTGGCAGATTCCACAGAAACAGTGTTTCAAAACTGCTCTAACAAAAGAAATATTCAACTCCGTGATTTGAATGCACACATCACAAAGCATTTTCTGTGAATCCTTCTGTCTAGTTTTTATATGAGGATATTTCCTTCTCTACCATGGGCATCAAAGCGTTCCAATTATCCAATTGTAGCTTGCACAAATAGAGTGTTTCAAAACTGCTTCATGAGAAGGAAGATTCAAATCTGGGAGTAGAATGCACACATCACGAAGAAGTTTCTGAGAATGCTTCCGTCTAGTTTATATGTGAAGATATTCCCATTTCCAGCAAAGGTCTCAAAGCGGTCCAAATATCCACTTGCGGATCCCACAAACAGTGTTTCAAAACTGCTCTACCGAAAGGTATGTTCAACTCTGTGAGTTTACTGCAAACATCCTAAAGAAGTTTCTGAGAATGCTGCTGTCTAGTTTAATGTGAATATATTTTCTTTTCCGCCATAGCCCTCAAAGAGCTCCAAATATCCACTTTCAGATTCTACAGAGTGTTTCAAAACTGCTCTATCCAAAAAAAGTTTCAACTAGGTGAGTCGAATGCACATATCACAAAGCAGTTTCTGAGAATGCTTTCGTCTATTTTTCCCAGGAAGATATTTCCTTTTGGACCGTAGGCCTCAAATCGCTCCAGATATCCACATGCAGATTCTACAAAAAGAGTGTTTCCAAACTGCCCTATCAAAAGGAAGGTTCAACTCTGGTAGTTGAAGGCAAACATCACAAAGAAGTTTCTCAGAATGCTTCAGTCTAGTATTTAGAGGCAGATATTTCTTTTTCTACCATTGGCCTCAAGGCGCTCCAAATATCCACTTGCAGATTCTCCACAAACAGTGTTTCAAAACTGCTCCATAAAAAGGAAGGTTCAACTCTCTGAGTTGAATGGACAGATCACAAAGAAGTTTCTGAGAATGCTTCTCTCTAGTGTTTATGTGAAGATATTCCCGTTTCCGATGAAGGCCTCAAAGCAGTCCAAATATCCACTTACCGATTCTACAAAAACAGTGTTTCAAAACTACTCTATGGAAAGGTATGTTCAACACTGTGAGATGAATGCAAACGTCACCAAGAAGTTGCTGAGAATGCTTCAGTCTAGTTTCTATGGGAAGACATTTCCTTTTGCACCACAGCCCCCAAAGCACTCCAAATGTCTACATGCAGATTCGATAAAAGAGTTTTACAAAACTGCTCTATCAAAAGAAAGGTTCAACGCTGTGAGTTGAATCCACATATCACGAAAAAGTTTCTGAGAATGCCTCTATCTACTTTTCCTGTGAAGATATTCCGGTTTCCAACGAAGGCCTCAAAGCGCTCCAAATATCTACTTGCAGATTCTAGAAAAAGAGTGTTTCACAACTGCTCAATTGAAGGAAGGTTCAACTCTGTGAGTTGAATTCACACATCACAAAGAACTTTCTGACAATGCTTCTATATAGTTTTTATGTGAAGATATTACTGTTTCCTATGAAGGCCTCAAAGTGGTCTGAATATCCACTTGCAGATTCTCCAAAAAGAGGTTTTCAAAATTGCTCTATGAAGAGTTATGTTCAACTCTGTGAGTTGAATGCAAACATCACGAAGTAGTTTCTGAGAATGCTTCTGTCTAGATTTTAGGGGCAGATATTTCCATTGGCACAACAGCCCTCAAAGCGCTCCAAATATCCACTGGCAGATTCTACCAAAAGAGTGTTTCAAAACTGCTCTGTGAAAAGAAATGTTCAACTGTGTTAGTTGAATGCCCACATCACAAAGGAGATTGTGAGAATATTTCTGTCTAGTTTTTATTAGAAGATATTCCCGTTTCCACCAAAGGACACAAAGCGAAGCCAACTATCCGCTTGCAGATCTTACAAAAACACGTTTCAAAACTGCTCTATCAAAGGAAAGGTTGATCTCTCTGGGTTCAACGCACACATCACAAAGAAGTTTCTGAGAAAGCTTCTGGCTAGTTTGTGTGTGAAGATATTCCCATTTCCAACAAAGGCTTCAAAGCCCTCCAAATATTCACCTGCAATTGTTCAAAAGAGTGTTTCAAAACTGTTCTATCAAAAGGAAGGTTCAACTCTGTGAGTTGAAAGGACGCTTCACATAAATGGTTCTGAGAATGCTTCTTTCTAGTTTTTATGTGAAGATATTTCCTTCTCCACCGTAGCCCTCAAAGCGCTCCAAGTGTCCGCTGGCAGATTCCACAGAAACAGTCTTTCAAATCTGCTCTAACAAAAGAAAGATTCAACTCCGTGATTTGAATGCACACATCACAAAGCATTTTCTGTGAATCCTTCTGTCTAGTTTTTATATGAGGATATTTCCTTTTCTACCATGGGCATCAAAGCTTTCCAATTATCCAATTGTGGATTGCACAAACAGAGTGTTTCAAAACTGCTTCATGAAAAGGAAGATTCAAATTTGGGAGTAGAATGCACACATCACGAAGAAGCTTCTGAGAATGCTTCTGTCCAGTTTATATGTGAAGATATTCCCATTTCCAGCAAAGGTCTCAAAGCGGTCCAAATGTCCACTTGCGGATCCCACAAACAGAGTGTTTCAAAACTGCTCTACGGAAAGGAATGCTCAACTCTGTGAGTTTACTGCAAACATCCTAAGGAAGTTTCTGGGAATGCTGCTGTCTACTTTAATGTGAATATATTTTCTTTTCCGCCATAGCCCTCAAAGAGCTCCAAATATCCACTTTCAGATTCTACAGAGTGTTTCAAAACTGCTCTATCAAAAAAAATTTCAACTCGGTGAGTCGAATGCACATATCACAAAGCAGTTTCTGAGAATGCTTCTGTCTAGTTTTTAGAGGCAGATATTTCTTTTTCTACCATAGGCCTCAAAGCGCTCCAAATATCCACTTGCAGATTCTCCAAAAACAGTGTTTCAAAACTGCTCCATAAAAAGGAAGGTTCAACTCTGTGAGTTGAATGGACAGATCACAAAGAAGTTTCTGAGAATGCTTCTGTCTAGTGTTTATGTGAAGATATTCCCGTTTCCGATGAAGACCTCAAAGCAGTCCAAATATCCACTTGCAGATTCTACAAAAATAGTGTTTCAAAACTACTCTATGGAAAGGTATGTTCAACACTGTGAGATGAATGCAAACGTCACAAAGAAGTTGCTGAGAATGCTTCAGTCTAGTTTCTATGGGAAGACATTTCCTTTTGCACCACAGCCCTCAAAGCACTCCAAATGTCTACTTGCAGATTCGATAAAAGAGTTTTTCAAAACTGCTCTATCAAAAGAAAGGTTCAACGCTGTGAGTTGAATCTACTTATCACAAAAAAGTTTCTGAGAATGCCTCTATCTACTTTTCCTGTGAAGATATTCCGGTTTCCAACGAAGGCCTCAAAGCGCTCCAAATATCTACTTGCAGATTCTAGAAAAGGAGTGTTTCAAAACTGCTCTATTAAAGGAAGGTTCAACTCTGTGAGTTGAATTCACACATCACAAAGAACTTTCTGACAATGCTTCTATCTAGTTTTTATGCGAAGATATTACTGTTTCCTATGAAGGCCTCAAAGTGGTCCGAATATCCTCTTGCAGATTCTACAAAAAGAGGTTTTCAAAACTGCTCTATGAAAAGGTATGTTCAACTCTGTGAGTTGAATGCAAACATCACAAAGCAGTTTACTGAGAATGCTTCTGTCTAGTTTTCAGGGGCAGATATTACCATTGGCACAATAGCCCTCCAAGCGCTCCAAATAT
The DNA here is from genome assembly GCF_000001405.40 of Homo sapiens. Taxonomy (NCBI): domain Eukaryota; kingdom Metazoa; phylum Chordata; class Mammalia; order Primates; family Hominidae; genus Homo; species Homo sapiens. The sequence continues at coordinate 49,927,198 of NC_000005.10, read as the reverse complement.
CCACTGGCAGATTCTACCAAAAGAGTGTTTCAAAACTGCTCTGTGAAAAGAAATGTTCAACTGTGTTAGTTGAATGCCCACATCACAAAGGAGATTCTGAGAATATTTCTGTCTAGTTTTTATTAGAAGATATTCCCGTTTCCACCAAAGGACACAAAGCGAAGCCAATTATCCGCTTGTAGAACTTACAAAAACACGTTTCAAAACTGCTCTATCCAAGGAAAGGTTCATCTCTCTGGGTTCAACGCACACATCACAAAGAAGTTTCTGAGAATACTTCTGGCTAGTTTGTGTGTGAAGATATTCCCATTTCCAACAAAGGCTTCAAAGCGCTCCAAAGATTCACCTGCAATTGTTCAAAAGAGTGTTTCAAAACTGTTCTCTCAAAAGAAAGGTTCAACTCTGTGAGTTGAATGCACGCTTCACATAAATGTTTCCGAGAATGCTTCTTTCTAGTTTTTATGGGAAGATATTTCCTTCTCCACCATAGCCCTCAAAGCGCTCCAAGTGTCCGCTGGCAGATTCCACAGAAACAGTGTTTCAAAACTGCTCTCACAAAAGAAAGATGCAACTCCGTGATTTGAATGCACACATCACAAAGCATTTTCTGTGAATCCTTCTGTCTAGTTTTTATATGAGGATATTTCCTTTTCTACCATGGGCATCAAAGCGTTCCAATCATCCAATTGTAGAATGCACAAATAGAGTGTTTCAAAACTGCTTCATGAAAAGGAAGATTCATATTTGGGAGTAGAATGCACACATCACGAAGAAGTTTCTGAGAATGCTTCTGTCTAGTTTATATGTGCAGATATTCGCATTTCCAGCAAAGGTCTCAAAGCGGTCCAAATATCCACTTGCGGATCCCACAAACAGAGTGTTTCAAAACTGCTCTACGGAAAGGTATGTTCAACTCTGTGAGTTTACTGCAAACATCCTAAAGAGGTTTCTGAGAATGCTGCTGTCTAGTTTAATATGAATATATTTTCTTTTCCGCCATAGCCCTCAAAGAGCTCCAAATATCCACTTTCAGATTCTACAGAGTGTTTCAAAACTGCTCTATCAAAAAAAAGTTTCAACTCGGTGAGTCGAATGCACATATCACAAAGCACTTTGTGAGAATGCTTTCGTCTATTTTTCCCAGGAAGATATTTCCTTTTTGACCGTAGGCCTCAAATCGCTCCAGATATCCACATGCAGATTCTACAAAAAGAGTGTTTCCAAACTGCCCTATCAAAAGGAAGGTTCAACTCTGCTAGTTGAATGCAAACATCACAAAGAAGTTTCTCAGAATGCTTCTGTCTAGTTGTCATAGGCAGATATTTCTTTTTCTACCGTAGGCCTCAAAGCGCTCCAAATATCCACTTGCAGATCCTCCGAAAACAGTGTTTCAAAACTGCTCCATAAAAAGGAAGGTTCAACTCTGTGAGTTGAATGGACAGACCACAAAGAAGTTTCTGAGAATGCTTCTCTCTAGTGTTTATGTGAAGATATTCCCGTTTCCGATGAAGGCCTCAAAGCAGTCCAAATATCCACTTGCAGATTCTACAGAAACAGTGTTTCAAAACCACTCTATGGAAAGGTATGTTCAACACTGTGAGATGAATGCAAACGTCACCAAGAAGTTGCTGAGAATGCTTCAATCTAGTTTCTATGGGAAGACATTTCCTTTTGCACCACAGCCCTCAAAGCACTCCAAATGTCTACTTGCAGATTCGATAAAAGAGTTTTACAAAACTGCTCTATCAAAAGAAAGGTTCAACGCTGTGAGTTGAATCCACATATCACGAAAAAGTTTCTGAGAATGCCTCTATCTGCTTTTTATGTGAAGATATTCCGGTTTCCAACGAAGGCCTCAAAGCGCTCCAAATATCTACTTCCAGATTCTAGAAAAAGAGTGTTTCAAAACTGCTCTATTAAAGGAAGTTTCAATTCTGTGATTTGAATTCACACATCACAAAGAACTTTCTGACTATGCTTCTATCTAGTTTTTATGTGAAGATATTACTGTTTCCCATGAAGGCCTCAAAGTGGTCCGAATATCCACTTGCAGATTCTACAAAAAGAGGTTTTCAAAACTGCTCTATGCAGAGGTATATTCAACTCTGTGAGTTGAATGCAAACATCCCGAAGCAGTTTCTGAGAATGCTTCTGTCTAGTTTTTAGGTGAAGACTTTTCCATTTCTACAAAGCCCTCAAAGCGCTCCAAATATCCACTGGCAGATTCTACAAAAAGAGTGTTTCAAAACTGCTCTGTCACAAGAAATGTTCAACTCTGTTAGTTGAATGCCCACATCACAAAGAAGATTCTGAGAATATTTCTGTCTAGTTTTTATTAGAAGATATTCCCGTTTCCAACAAAGGACACAAAGCGAAGCCAATTATCCGCTTGCAGATCTTACAAAAACACGTTTCAAAACTGCTCTATCAAAGGAAAGGTTCATCTCTCTGGGTTCAACGCACACATCACAAAGAAGTTTCTGAGAATGCTTCTGGCTAGTTTGTGTGTGAAGATATTCCCGTTTCCAACAAAGGCTTCAAAGCCCTCCAAATATTCACCTGCAATTGTTCAAAAGAGTGTTTCAAAACTGTTCTATCAAAAGGAAGGTTCAACTCTGTGAGTTGAATGCACGCTTCACATAAATGGTTCTGAGAATGCTTCTTTCTAGTTTTTATGGGAAGATATTTCCTTCTCCACCACAACCCTCAAAGCGCTCCAAGTGTCCGCTGGCAGATTCCACAGAAACAGTGTTTCAAAACTGCTCTGACAAAAGAAAGATTCAACTCCGTGATTTGAATGCACACATCACAAAGCATTTTCTGTGAATCCTTGTGTCTAGTTTTTATATGAGGATATTTCCTTTTCTACCATGGGCATCAAAGCGTTCCAATTATCCAATTGTGGATTGCACAAACAGAGTGTTTCAAAACTGCTTCATGAAAAGGAAGATTCAAATTCGGGAGTAGAATGCACACATCACGAAGAAGTTACTGAGAATGCTTCTGTCTAGTTTATATGTGAAGATATTCCCATTTCCAGCAAAGGCCTCAAAGCGGTCCAAATATCCACTTGCGGATCCCACAAACAGAGTGTTTCAAAACTGCTCTATGGAAAGGTAGGTTCAACTCTGTGAGTTTACCGCAAACATCCTAAAGAAGTTTCTGAGAATGCTGCTGTCTAGTTTAATGTGAATATCTTTTCTTTTCCGCCATAGCCCTCAAAGAGCTCCAAATATCCACCTTCAGATTCTACAGAGTGTTTCAAAACTGCTCTATCCAAAAAAAGTTTCAACTCGGTGAGTCGAATGCACATATCACAAAGCAGTTTCTGAGAATACTTTCGTCTATTTTTCCCAGGAAGATATTTCCTTTTTGACCGTAGGCCTCAAACCGCTCCAGATATCCACATGCAGATTCTACAAAAAGAGTGTTTCCAAACTGCCCTATCAAAAGGAAGGTTCAACTCTGCTAGTTGAATGCAAACATCACAGAGAAGTTTCTCGGAATGCTTCTGTCTAGTTGTCATAGGCAGATATTTCTTTTTCTACAATAGGCCTCAAAGCGCTCCAAATATCCACTTGCAGATCCTCCGAAAACAGTGTTTCAAAACTGCTCCATAAAAAGGAAGGTTCAACTCTGTGAGTTGAATGGACAGACCACAAAGAAGTTTCTGAGAATGCTTCTGTCTAGTGTTTATGTGAAGATATTCCCGTTTCCGATGAAGGCCTCAAAGCAGTCCAAATATCCACTTGCAGATTCTGCAAAAATAGTGCTTCAAAACTACCCTATGGAAAGGAATGTTCAACACTGTGAGATGAATGCAAACGTCACAAAGAAGTTGATGAGAATGCTTCAGTCTAGTTTCTATGGGAAGACATTTCCTTTTGCACCACAGCCCTCAAAGCACTCCAAATGTCTACTTGCAGATTCGATAAAAGAGTTTTACAAAACTGCTCTATCAAAAGAAATGTTCAACGCTGTGAGTTGAATCCACATAACACGAAAAAGTTTCTGAGAATGCCTCTATCTACTTTTCCTGTGAAGATATTCCGGTTTCCAACGAAGGCCTCAAAGCGCTCCAAATATCTACTTGCAGATTCTAGAAAAAGAGTGTTTCACAACTGCTCTATTGAAGGAAGGTTCAATTCTGTGAGTTGAATTCACACATCACAAAGAACTTTCTGACAATGCTTCTATCTAGTTTTTATGTGAAGATATTACTGTTTCTTATGAAGGCCTCAAAGTGGTCCGAATATCCACTTGCAGATTCTACAGAAAGAGGTTTTCAAAACTGCTCTGTGAAGGGGTATGTTCAACTCTGTGTGTTGAATGCAAACATCACGAAGTAGTTTCTGAGAATGCTTCTGTCTAGATTTCAGTGGCAGATATTTCCATTGGCACAATAGCCCTCCAAACACTCCAAATATCCACTGGCAGATTCTACCAAAAGAGTGTTTCAAAACTGCTCTGTGAAAAGAAATGTTCAACTGTGTTAGTTGAATGCCCACATCACAAAGGAGATTCTGAGAATATTTCTGTCTAGTTTTTATTAGAAGATATTCCCGTTTCCACCAAAGGACACAAAGCGAAGCCAATTATCCGCTTGCCGATCTTACAAAAACACGTTTCAAAACTGCTCTATCGAAGGAAAGGTTCATCTCTCTGGGTTCAACGCACACATCACAAAGAAGTTTCTGAGAATGCTTCTGGCTAGTTTGTGTGTGAAGATATTCCCATTTCCAACAAAGGCTTCAAAGCGCTCCAAAGATTCACCTGCAATTGTTCAAAAGAGTGTTTCAAAACTGTTCTATCAAAAGAAAGGTTCAACTCTGTGAGTTGAATGCACGCTTCACATAAATGTTTCCGAGAATTCTTCTTTCTAGTTTTTATGTGAAGATATTTCCTTCTCCACCATAGCCCTCAAAGCGCTCCAAGTGTCCGCGGGCAGATTCCACAGAAACAGTGTTTCAAAACTGCTCTAACAAAATAAGATTCAACACCGTGATTTGAATGAACACATCACAAAGCATTTTCTGTGAATCCTTCTGTCTAGTTTTTATATGAGGATATTTCCTTTTCTACCATGGGCATCAAAGGGTTCCAATTATCCAATTGTAGATTGCACAAATAGAGTGTTTCCAAACTGCTTCATGAGAAGGAAGATTCAAATTTGGGAGTAGAATGCACACATCACGAAGAAGTTTCTGAGAATGCTTCTGTCTAGTTTATATGTGAAGATATTCCCATTTCCAGCAAAGATCTCAAAGCTGTCCAAATATCCACTTGCGGATCCCACAAACAGAGTGTTTCAAAACTGCTCTATGGAAAGGTATGTTCAACTCTGTGAGTTTACTGCAGACATCCTAAAGAAGTTTCTGAGAATGCTGCTGTCTACTTTAATGTGAATATATTTTCTTTTCCGCCATAGCCCTCAAAGAGCTCCAAATATCCACTTTCAGATTCTACAGAGTGTTTCAAAACTGCTCTATCAAAAAAAAGTTTCAACTCGGTGAGTCGAATGCACATATCACAAAGCAGTTTCTGAGAATGCTTTCGTCTATTTTTCCCAGGAAGATATTTCCTTTTTGACCGTAGGCCTCAAACCGCTCCAGATATCCACATGCAGATTCTACAAAAAGAGTGTTTCCAAACTGCCCTATCAAAAGGAAGGTTCAACTCTGCTAGTTGAATGCAAACATCACAAAGGAGTTTCTCGGAATGCTTCTGTCTGGTTTTTAGAGGCAGATATTTCTTTTTCTACCATAGGCCTCAAAGTGCTCCAAATATCCACTTGCAGATTCTCCAAAAGGAGTGTTTCAAAACTGCTCCATAAAAAGGAAGGTTCAACTCTGTGAGTTGAATGGACAGATGACAAAGAAGTTTCTGAGAATGCTTCTCTCTAGTGTTTATGTGAAGATATTCCCGTTTCCGATGAAGGCCTCAAAGCAGTCCAAATATCCACTTGCAGATTCTACAAAAACAGTGTTTCAAAAGTACTCGATGGAAAGGTATGTACAACACTGTGAGATGAATGCAAACGTCACAAAGAAGTTGCTGAGAATGCTTCAGTCTAGTTTCTATGGGAAGACATTTCCTTTTGCACCACAGCCCTCAAAGCACCCCAAATGTCTACCTGCAGATTCGATTAAAGAATTTTTCAAAACTGCTCCATCCAAAGAAAGGTTCAACGCTGTGAGTTGAATCTACATATCACAAAAAAGTTTCTGAGAATGCCTCTATCTACTTTTCCTGTGAAGATATTCCGGTTTCCAACGAAGGCCTCAAAGCGCTCCAAATATCTACTTGCAGATTCTAGAAAAAGAGTGTTTCACAACTGCTCTGCTGAAGGAAGGTTCAATTCTGTGAGTTGAATTCACACATCACAAAGAACTTTCTGACAATGCTTCTATCTAGTTTTTATGTGAAGATATTACTGTTTCCTATGAAGGCCTCAAAGTGGTCCGAATATCCACTTGCAGATTCTACAGAAAGAGGTTTTCAAAACTGCTCTGTGAAGAGGTATGTTCAACTCTGTGTGTTGAATGCAAACATCACGAAGCAGTTTCTGAGAATGCTTCTGTCTAGTTTTTAGGGGCAGATATTTCCATTGGCACAATAGCCCTCAAAGCACTCCAAATATCCACTGGCAGATTCGACCAAAAGAGTGTTTCAAAACTGCTCTGTGAAAAGAAATGTTCAACTGTGTTACTTGAATGCCCACATCACAAAGAAGTTTCTGAGAATATCTCTGTCTAGTTTTTATTAGAAGATATTCCCGTTTCCACCAAAGGACACAAAGCGAAGCCAATTATCCGCTTGCCGATCTTACAAAAACACGTTTCAAAACTGCTCTATCGAAGGAAAGGTTCATCTCTCTGGGTACAACGCACACATCACAAAGAAGTTTCTGAGAATGCTTCTGGCTAGTTTGTGTGTGAAGATATTCCCATTTGCAACAAAGGCTTCAAAGCGCTCCAAAGATTCACCTGCAATTGTTCCAAAGAGTGTTTCAAAACTGTTGTATCAAAAGGAAGGTTCAACTCTGTGAGTTGAATGCACGCTTCACATAAATGTTTCTGAGAATGCTTCTTTCTAGTTTTTATGTGAAGATATTTCCTTCTCCACCGTAGCCCTCAAAGCGCTCCAAGTGTCCGCTGGCAGATTCCACAGAAACTGTGTTTCAAAACTGCTCTAACAAAAGAAAGATTCAACTCCGTGATTTGAATGCACACATCACAAAGCATTTTCTGTGAATCCTTCTGTCTAGTTTTCATATGAGGATATTTCCTTTTCTACCATGGGCATCAAAGGGTTCCAATTATCCAATTGTAGATTGCACAAATAGAGTGTTTCAAAACTGCTTCATGAGAAGGAAGATTCAAATTTGGGAGTAGAATGCACACATCACGAAGAAGTTTCTGAGAATGCTTCTGTCTAGTTTATATGTGAAGATATTCCCATTTCCAGCAAAGGTCTCAAAGCGGTCCAAATATCCACTTGCGGATCCCACAAACAGAGTGTTTCAAAACTGCTCTACGGAAAGGTATGTTCAACTCTGTGAGTTTACTACAAACATCCTAAAGAAGTTTCTGAGAATGCTGCTGTCTAGTTTAATGTGAATATATTTTCTTTTCCGCCATAGCCCTCAAAGAGCTCCAAATATCCACTTTCAGATCCTACAGAGTGTTTCAAAACTGCTCTATCCAAAAAAAGTTTCAACTCGGAGAGTCGAATGCACATATCACAAAGCAGTTTCTGAGAATGCTTTCGTCTATTTTTCCCCGGAAGATATTTCCTTTTGGACCGTAGGCCTCAAATCGCTCCAGATATCCACATGCAGATTCTACAAAAAGAGTGTTTCCAAACTGCCCTATGAAAAGGAAGGTTCACCTCTGGTAGTTGAATGCAAACATCACAAAGAAGTTTCTCAGAATGCTTCTGTCTAGTTGTCATAGGCAGATATTTCTTTTTCTACCATAGGCCTCAAAGCGCTCCAAATATCCACTTGCAGATTCTCCGAAAACAGTGTTTCAAAACTGCTCCATAAAAAGGAAGGTTCAACTCTGTGAGTTGAATGGACAGACCACAAAGAAGTTTCTGATAATGCTTCTCTCTAGTGTTTATGTGAAGATATTCCCGTTTCCGATGAAGGCCTCAAAGCAGTCCAAATATCCACTTGCAGATTCTACAAAAACAGTGTTTCAAAACTACTCTATGGAAAGGTATGTTCAACACTGTGAGATGAATGCAAACGTCACAAAGAAGTTGCTGAGAATGCTTCAGTCTAGTTTCTATGGGAAGACATTTCCTTTTGCACCACAGCCCTCAAAGCACTCCAAATGTCTACTTGCAGATTCGACATAAGAGTTTTTCAAAACCGCTCTATCAAAAGAAAGGTTCAACGCTGTGAGTTGAATCTACATATCACAGAAAAGTTTCTGAGAATGCCTCTATCTACTTTTTATGTGAAGATATTCCGGTTTCCAACGAAGGCCTCAAAGCGCTCCAAATATCTACTGGCAGATTCTAGAAAAAGAGTGTTTAAAACTGCTCTATTAAAGGAAGGTTCAACTATGTGAGTTGAATTCACACATCACAAAGAACTTTCTGACAATGCTTCTATCTAGTTTTTATGTGATGATATTACTGTTTCCGATGAAGGCCTCAAAGTGGTCCGAATATCCACTTGCAGATTCTACAAAAAGAGGTTTTCAAAACTGCTCTATGAAGAGGTATGTTCAACTCTGTGAGTTGAATGCAAACATCACAAAGCAGTTTTTGAGAATGCTTCTGTCTAGTTTTCAGGGGCAGATATTTCCATTGGCACAATAGCCCTCCAAGCGCTCCACATATCCACTGGCAGATTCTACCAAAAGAGTGTTTCAAAACTGCTCTGTGAAAAGAAATGTTCAACTGTGTTAGTTGAATGCCCACATCACAAAGGAGATTCTGAGAATATTTCTGTCTAGTTTTTATTAGAAGATATTCCCGTTTCCACCAAAGGACACAAAGCGAAGCCAATTATCCGCTTGCCGACCTTACAAAAACACGTTTCAAAACTGCTCTATCAAAGGAAAGGTTCATCTCTCTGGGTTCAACGCACACATCACAAAGAAGTTTCTGAGAATGCTTCTGGCTACTTTGTGCGTGAAGATATTCCCATTTCCAGCAAAGGCTTCAAAGCGCTCCAAATATTCACCTGCAATTGTTCAAAAGAGTGTTTCAAAACTGTTCTAACAAAAGGAAGGTTCAACTCTGAGAGTTGAATGCACGCTTCACATAAATGGTTCTGAGAATGCTTCTGTCTAGTTTTTATGGGAAGATATTTCCTTCTCCACCATAGCCCTCAAAGCGCTCCAAGTGTCCGCTGGCAGATTCCACAGAAACAGTGTTTCAAAACTGCTCTAACAAAAGAAAGATTCAACTCCGTGATTTGAATGCACACATCACAAAGCATTTTCTGTGAATCCTTCTGTCTAGTTTTTATATGAGGATATTTCCTTTTCTACCATGGGCATCAAAGCGTTCCAATTATCCAATTGTGGATTGCACAAACAGAGTGTTTCAAAACTGCTTCATGAAAAGGAAGATTCAAATTCGGGAGGAGAATGCACACATCACGAAGAAGTTTCTGAGAATGCTTCTGTCTAGTTTATATGTGCAGATATTCCCATTTCCAGCAAAGGTCTCAAAGCGGTCCAAATATCCACTTGCGGATCCCACAAACAGAGTGTTTCAAAACTGCTCTACGGAAAGGTATGTTCAACTCTGTGAGTTTACTGCAAACATCCTAAAGAAGTTTCTGAGAATGCTGCTGTCTACTTTAATGTGAATATATTTTCTTTTCCGCCATAGCCCTCAAAGAGCTCCAAATATCCACTTTCAGATTCTACAGAGTGTTTCAAAACTGCTCTATCAAAAAAAAGTTTCAACTCGGTGAGTCGAATGCGCATATCACAAAGCACTTTCTGAGAATGCTTTCGTCTATTTTTCCCAGGAAGATATTTCCTTTTTGACCGTAGGCCTCAAATCGCTCCAGATATCCACATGCAGATTCTACAAAAAGAGTGTTTCCAAACTGCCCTATCAAAAGGAAGGTTCAACTCTGGTAGCTGAAAGCAAACATCACAAAGAAGTTTCTCAGAATGCTTCAGTCTAGTATTTAGAGGCAGATATTTCTTTTTCTACCATTGGCCTCAAGGCGCTGCAAATATCCACTTGCAGATTCTTCACAAACAGTGTTTCAAAACTGCTCCATAAAAAGGAAGGTTCAACTCTGTGAGTTGAATGGACAGATCACAAAGAAGTTTCTGAGAATGCTTCTGCCTAGTGTTTATGTGAAGATATTCCCGTCTCCGATGAAGGCCTCAAAGCAGTCCAAATATCCACTTGCAGATTCTACAAAAATAGTGTCTCAAAACTACTCTATGGAAAGGTATGTTCAACACTGTGAGATGAATGCAAACGTCACAAAGAAGTTGCTGAGAATGCTTCAGTCTAGTTTCTATGGGAAGACATTTCCTTTTGCACCACAGCCCTCAAAGCACCCCGAATGTCTACCTGCAGATTCGATAAAAGGGTTTTTCAAAACTGCTCCATCCAAAGAAAGGTTCAACGCTGTGAGTTGAATCTACATTTCACAAAAAAGTTTCTGAGAATGCCTCTATCTACTTTTTATGTGAAGATATTCCGGTTTCCAAAGAAGGCCTCAAAGGGCTCCAAATATCTACTTGCAGATTCTAGAAAAAGAGTGTTTCAAAACTGCTCTATTAAAGGAAGGTTCAACTCTGTGAGTTGAATTCACACATCACAAAGAACTTTCTGACAATGCTTCTATCTAGTTTTTATGTGAAGATATTATTGTTTCCTATGAAGGCCTCAAAGTGGTCCGAATATCCACTTGCAGATTCTACAAGAAGAGGTTTTCCAAACTGCTCTATCAAGAGGTAGGTTCAACTCTGTGAGTTGAATGCAAACATCACAAAGCAGTTTCTGAGAATGCTTCTGTCTAGTTTTCAGGGGCAGATATTACCATTGGCACAATAGCCCTCCAAGCGCTCCAAATATCCACTGGCAGATTCTACCAAAAGAGTGTTTCAAAACTGCTCTGTGAAAAGAAATGTTCAACTGTGTTAGTTGAATGCCCACATCACAAAGGAGATTTTGAGAATATTTCTGTCTAGTTTTTATTAGAAGATATTCCCGTTTCCACCAAAGGACACAAAGCGAAGCCAATTATCCGCTTGCAGATCTTACAAAAACACGTTTCAAAACTGCTCTATCAAAGGAAAGGTTCATCTCTCTGGGTTCAATGCACACATCACAAAGAAGTTTCTGAGAATGCTTCTGGCTAGTTTGTGTGTGAAGATATTCCCATTTCCAACAAAGGCTTCAAAGCCCTCCAAATATTCACCTGCAATTGTTCAAAAGAGTGTTTCAAACCTGTTCTATCAAAAGGAAGGTTCAACTCTGTGAGTTGAACGCACGCTTCACATAAATGTTTCTGAGAATGCTTCTTTCTAGTTTTTATGTGAAGATATTTCCTTCTCCACCATAGCCCTCAAAGCGCTCCAAGTGTCCGCTGGCAGATTCCACAGAAACAGTGTTTCAAAACTGCTCTAACAAAAGAAAGATTCAACTCCGTGATTTGAATGCACACATCACAAAGCATTTTCTGTGAATCCTTCTGTCTAGTTTTTATATGAGGATATTTCCTTTTCTACCATGGGCATCCAAGCCTTCCAATTCTCCAATTGTAGATTGCACAAACAGAGTGTTTCAAAACTGCTCCATGAGAAGGAAGATTCAAATTTGGGAGTACAATGCACACATCACGAAGAAGTTTCTGAGAATGCTTCTGTCTAGTTTATATGTGAAGATATTCCCATTTCCAGCAAAGGTCTCAAAGCGGTCCAAATATCCCCTTGCGGATCCCACAAACAGAGTGTTTCAAAACTGCTCTACGGAAAGGTATGTTCAACTCTGTGAGTTTACTACAAACATCCTAAAGAAGTTTCTGAGAATGCTGCTGTCTAGTTTAATGTGAATATATTTTCTTTTCCGCCATAGCCCTCAAAGAGCTCCAAATATACACTTTCAGATTCTACAGAGTGTTCCAAAACTGCTCTATCAAAAAAAAGTTTCAACTCGGTGAGTCGAATGCACATATCACAAAGCAGTTTCTGAGAATGCTTTCGTCTATTTTTCCCAGGAAGATATTTCCTTTTTGACCGTAGGCCTCAAACCGCTCCAGATATCCACATGAAGATTCTACAAAAAGAGTGTTTCCAAACTGCCCTATCAAAAGGAAGGTTCAACTCTGCTAGTTGAATGCAAACATCACAAAGAACTTTTCTCGGAATGCTTCTGTCTATCTGTCATAGGCAGATATTTCTTTTTCTACCATAGGCCTCAAAGCGCTCCAAATATCCACTTGCAGATTCTCCGAAAACAGGGTTTCAAAACTGCTCCATAAAAAGGAAGGTTCAACTCTGTGAGTTGAATGCACAGACCACAAAGAAGTTTCTGAGAATGCTTCTCTCTAGTGTTTATGTGAAGATATTCCCGTTTCCGATGAAGGCCTCAAAGCAGTCCAAATATCCACTTGCCGATTCTACACAAACAGTGTTTCAAAACTACTCTATGGAAAGGTATGTTCAACACTGTGAGATGAATGCAAACGTCACCAAGAAGTTGCTGAGAATGCTTCAGTCTAGTTTCTATGGGAAGACATTTCCTTTTGCAGCACAGCCCTCAAAGCACCCCGAATGTCTACCTGCAGATTCGATAAAAGAGTTTTTCAAAACTGCTCCATCCAAAGAAAGGTTCAACGCTGTGAGTTGAATCTACATATCACAAAAAAGTTTCTGAGAATGCCTCTATCTACATTTCCTGTGAAGATATTCCGGTTTACAACGAAGGCCTCCAAGCGCTCCAAATATCTACTTGCAGATTCTAGAAAAAGAGTGTTTCAACACTGCTCTATTAAAGGAAGTTTCAACTCTGTGAGTTGAATTCACACATCACAAAGAACTTCCTGACAATGCTTCTATCTAGTTTTTATGCGAAGATATTACTGTTTCCTATGAAGGCCTCAAAGTGGTCCGAATATCCTCTTGCAGATTCTACAAAAAGAGGTTTTCAAAACTGCTCTATGAAGAGGTATGTTCAACTCTGTGAGTTGAATGCAAACATCACGAAGTAGTTTCTGAGAATGCTTCTGTCTAGATTTCAGGGGCAGATATTTCCATTGGCACAATAGCCCTCAAAGCGCTCCAAATATCCACTGGCAGATTCTACCAAAAGAGTGTTTCTAAACTGCTCTGTGAAAAGAAAGTTCAACTGTGTTAGTTGAATGCCCACATCACAAAGGAGATTCTGAGAATATTTCTGTCTAGTTTTTATTAGAAGATATTCCCGTTTCCACCAAAGGACACAAAGCGAAGCCGATTATCCGCTTGCAGATCTTACAAAAACACGTTTCAAAACTGCTCTATCAAAGGAAAGGTTCATCTCTCTGTGTTCAACGTACGCATCACAAAGAAGTTTCTGAGAATGCTTCTGGCTAGTTTGTGTGTGAAGATATTCCCATTTCCAACAAAGGCTTCAAAGCGCTCCAAAGATTCACCTGCAATTGTTCAAAAGAGTGTTTAAAAACTGTTCTATCAAAAGGAAGGTTCAACACTGTGAGTTGAATTCACGCTTCACATACATGTTTCTGAGAATGCTTCTCTCTAGTTTTTATGGGAAGATATTTCCTTCTCCACCATAGCCCTCAAAGCGCTCCAAGTGTCCGCTGGCAGATTCCACAGAAACAGTGTTTCAAAACTGCTCTGACAAAAGAAAGATTCAACTCCGTGATTTGAATGCACACATCACAAAGCATTTTCTGTGAATCCTTCTGTCTAGTTTTTATATGAGGATATTTCCTTTTCTACCACGGGCATCCAAGCGTTCCAATTCTCCAATTGTAGATTGCACAAACAGAGTGTTTCAAAACTGCTCCATGAGAAGGAAGATTCAAATTTGGGAGAACAATGCACACATCACGAAGAAGTTTTTGAGAATGCTTCTGTCTAGTTTATATGTGAAGATATTCCCATTTCCAGCAAAGATCTCAAAGAGGTCCAAATATCCACTTGCGGATCCCACAAACAGAGTGTTTCAAAACTGCTCTACGGAAAGGTATGTTCAACTCTGTGAGTTTACTGCAGACATCCTAAAGAAGTTTCTGAGAATGCTGCTGTCTAGTTTAATGTGAATATATTTTCTTTTCCGCCATAGCCCTCAAAGAGCTCCAAATATCCACTTTCAGATTCTACAGAGTGTTTCAAAACTGCTCTATCAAATAAAAGTTTCAACTCGGTGAGTCGAATGCACATATCACAAAGCAGTTTCTGAGAATGCTTTCGTCTATTTTTCCCAGGAAGATATTTCCTTTTGGACAGTAGGCCTCAAATCGCTCCAGATATCCACATGCAGATTCTCCAAATGAGTGTTTCCAAACTGCCCTATCAAAAGGAAGGTTCACCTCTGGTAGTTGAATGCAAACATCACAAAGAAGTTTCTCAGAATGCTTCTGTCTAGTTGTTATAGGCAGATATTTCTTTTTCTACCATAGGCCACAAAGCGCTCCAAATATCTACTTGCAGATTCTCCAAAAACAGTGTTTCAAAACTGCTCCATAAAAAGGAAGGTTCAACTCTGTGAGTTGAATGGACAGATCACAAAGAAGTTTCTGAGAATGCTTCTCTCTAGTGTTTATGTGAAGATATTCCCGTTTCCGATGAAGGCCTCAAAGCAGTCCAAATATCCACTTGCCGATTCTACAAAAACAGTGTTTCAAAACTACTCTATGGAAAGGTATGTTAAACACTGTGAGATGAATGCAAACGTCACCAAGAAGTTGCTGAGAATGCTTCAGTCTAGTTTCTATGGGAAGACATTTCCTTTTGCACCACAGCCCTCAAAGCACCACAAATGTCTACCTGCAGATTCGATAAAAGAGTTTTTCAAAACTGCTCCATCCAAAGAAAGGTTCAACGCTGTGAGTTGAATCTACATATCACAAAAAAGTTTCTGAGAATGCCTCTATCTACTTTTTATGTGGAGATATTCCGGTTTCCAACGAAGGCCTCAAAGCGCTCCAAATATCTACTGGCGGATTCTAGAAAAAGAGTGTTTCAAAACTGCTCTATTAAAGGAAGGTTCAACTCTGTGAGTTGAATTCACACATCACAAAGAACTTTCTGACAATGTTTCTATCTAGTTTTTACGTGAAGATATTACTGTTTCCTATGAAGGCCTCATAGTGGTCCGAATATCCTCTTGCAGATTCTACAAAAAGAGGTTTTCAAAACTGCTCTATGAAAAGGTATGTTCAACTCTGTGAGTTGAATGCAAACATCACAAAGCAGTTTCTGAGCATGCTTCTGTCTAGTTTTTAGGGGCAGATATTTCCGTTGGCACAATAGCCCTCAAAGCGCTCCAAATATCCACTGGCAGATTCTACCAAAAGGGTGTTTCAAAACTGCTCTGTGAAAAGTAAGGTTCAACTGTGTTAGTTGAATGCCCACATCACGAAGAAGATTCTGAGAATATTTCTGTCTAGTTTTTATTAGAAGATATTCCCGTTTCCACCAAAGGACACACAGCGAAGCCAACTATCCGCTTGCAGATCTTACAAAAACACGTTTCAAAACTGCTCTATCAAAGGAAAGGTTCATCTCTCTGGGTTCAACGCACACATCACAAAGAAGTTTCTGAGAATGCTTCTGGCTAGTTTGTGTGTGAAGATATTCCCATTTCCAACAAAGGCTTCAAAGCCCTCCAAATATTCACCTGCAATTGTTCAAAAGAGTGTTTCAAAACTGTTCTATCAAAAGGAAGGTTCAACTCCGTGAGTTGAACGCACGCTTCACATAAATGGTTCTGAGAATGCTTCTCTCTAGTTTTTATGGGAAGATATTTCCTTCTCCACCATAGCCCTCAAAGCGCTCCAAGTGTCCGCTGGCAGATTCCACAGAAACAGTGTTTCAAAACTGCTCTGACAAAAGAAAGATTCAACTCCGTGATTTGAATGCACACATCACAAAGCATTTTCTGTGGATCCTTCTGTCTAGTTTTTATATGAGGATATTTCCTTTTCTACCATGGGCATCAAAGCGTTCCAATTATCCAATTGTGGATTGCACAAACAGATTGTTTCAAAACTGCTTCATGAAAAGGAAGATTCAAATTTGGGAGTAGAATGCACACATCACGAAGAAGTTTCTGAGAATGCTTCTGTCCAGTTTATATGTGAAGATATTCCCGTTTCCAGCAAAGGTCTCAAAGCGGTCCAAATATCCACTTGCGGATCCCACAAACAGAGTGTTTCAAAACTGCTCTACGGAAAGGTGTGTTCAACTCTGTGAGTTTACTGCAAACATCCTAAAGAAGTTTCTGGGAATGCTGCTGTCTAGTTTAATGTGAATATCTTTTCTTTTCCGCCATAGCCCTCAAAGAGCTCCAAATATCCACTTTCAGATTCTACAGAGTGTTTCAAAACTGCTCTATCCGAAAAAAGTTTCAACTCGGAGAGTCGAATGCACATATCACAAAGCAGTTTCTGAGAATGCTTCGTCTATCTTTCCCAGGAAGATATTTCCTTTTGGACCGTAGGCCTCAAATCGCTCCAGATATCCACATGCAGATTCTACAAAAAGAGTGTTTCCAAACTGCCCTATCAAAAGGAAGGTTCAACTCTGGTAGTTGAAGGCAAACATCACAAAGAAGTTTCTCAGAATGCTTTCTGTCTGGTTTTTAGAGGCAGATATTTCTTTTTCTACCATAGGCCTCAAAGCGCTCCAAATATCCACTTGCAGATTCTCCAAAAGGAGTGTTTCAAAACTGCTCCATAAAAAGGAAGGTTCAACTTCTGTGAGTTGAATGGACAGATGACAAAGAAGTTTCTGAGAATGCTTCTCTCTAGTGTTTATGTGAAGATATTCCCGTTTCCGACGAAGGCCTCAAAGCAGTCCAAATATCCACTTGCCGATTCTACAAAAACAGTGTTTCAAAACCACTCTATGGAAAGGTATGTTCAACACTGTGAGATGAATGCAAACGTCACCAAGAAGTTGCTGAGAATGCTTCAGTCTAGTTTCCATGGGAAGACATTTCCTTTGGCACCACAGCCCTCAAAGCACTCCAAATGTCTACTTGCAGATTCGACAAAAGAGTTTTTCAAAACTGCTCTATCAAAAGAAAGGTTCAACGCTGTCAGATGAATCAACATATCACAAAAAAGTTTCTGAGAATGCCTCTATCTACTTTTCCTGTGAAGATATTCCGGTTTCCAACGAAGGCCTCAAAGCGCTCGAAATATCTACTTGCAGATTCTAAAAAAAGAGTGTTTCAAAACTGCTCTATTAAAGGAAGGTTCAACTCTGTGAGTTGAATTCACACATCACAAAGAACTTTCTGACAATGCTTCTATCTAGTTTTTATGCGAAGATATTACTGTTTCCTATGAAGGCCTCAAAGTGCTCCGAATATCCACTTGCAGATTCTACAAAAGGAGGTTTTCAAAACTGCTCTGTGAAGAGGTATGTTCAACTCTGTGAGTTGAATGCAAACATCACGAAGTAGTTTCTGAGAATGCTTCTGTCTAGATTTTAGGGGCAGATATTTCCATTGGCACAACAGCCCTCAAAGCGCTCCAAATATCCACTGGCAGATTCTACCAAAAGAGTGTTTCAAAACTGCTCTGTGAAAAGAAATGTTCAACTGCGTTAGTTGAATGCCCACATCACAAAGGAGATTCTGAGAATATTTCTGTCTAGTTTTTATTAGAAGATATTCCCGTTTCCACCAAAGGACACAAGGCGAAGTCAATTATCCGTTTGCAGATCTTACAAAAACACGTTTCAAAACTGCTCTATCAAAGGAAAGGTTCATCTCTCTGGATTCAACGCACACATCACAAAGAAGTTTCTGAGAATGCTTCTGGCTAGTTTGTGTGTGAAGATATTCCCATTTCCAACAAAGGCTTCAAAGCCCTCCAAATATTCACCTGCAATTGTTCAAAAGAGTGTTTCAAAACTGTTCTATCAAAAGGAAGGTTCAACTCTGTGAGTTGAATGCACGCTTCACATAAATGGTTCTCAGAATGCTTCTTTCTAGTTTTTATGGGAAGATGTTTCCTTCTCCACCATAGCCCTCAAAGCGCTCCAAGTGTCCGCTGGCAGATTCCACAGAAACAGTGTTTCAAAACTGCTCTAACAAAAGAAAGATTCAACTCCGTGGTTTGAATGCACACATCACAAAGCATTTTCTGTGAATCCTTCTGTCTAGTTTTTATATGAGGATATTTCCTTTTCTACCATGGGCATCAAAGCGTTCCAATCATCCAATTGTAGAATGCACAAATAGAGTGTTTCAAAACTGCTTCATGAAAAGGAAGATTCAAATTAGGGAGTAGAATGCATACATCACGAAGAAGTTTCTGAGAATGCTTCTGTCTAGTTTATATGTGAACATATTCCCGTTTCCAGCAAAGGTCTCAAAGCGGTCCAAATATCCACTTGCGGATCCCACAAACAGAGTGTTTCAAAACTGCTCTACGGAAAGGTATGTTCAACTCTGTGAGTTTACTGCAAACATCCTAAAGAAGTTTCTGGGAATGCTGCTGTCTAGTTTAATGTGAATATATTTTCTTTTCCGCCATAACCCTCAAAGAGCTCCTAATATCCACTTTCAGTTTCTACAGAGTGTTTCAAAACTGCTCTATCAAAAAAAAGTTTCAAATCGGTGAGTCGAATGCACATATCACAAAGCAGTTTCTGAGAATGCTTTCGTCTATTTTTCCCAGGAAGATATTTCCTTTTTGACCATAGGCCTCAAATCGCTCCAGATATCCACATGCAGATTCTACAAAAAGAGTGTTTCCAAACTGCCCTATCAAAAGGAAGGTTCAACTAAGGTAGTTGAATGCAAACATCACAAAGAAGTTTCTCAGAATGCTTCTGTCTAGTTGTTATAGGCAGATATTTCTTTTTCTAACATAGGCCACAAAGCGCTCCAAATATCTACTTGAAGATTCTCCAAAAACAGTGTTTCAAAACTGCTCCATAAAAAGGAAGGTTCAACTCTGTGAGTTGAATGGACAGATCACAAAGAAGTTTCTGAGAATGCTTCTGTCTAGTGTTTATGTGAAGATATTCCCGTCTCCGATGAAGGCCTCAAAGCAGTCCAAATATCCACTTGCAGATTCTACAAAAATAGTGCTTCAAAACTACTCTATGGAAAGGTATGTTCAACACTGTGAGATGAATGCAAACGTCACAAAGAAGTTGCTGAGAATGCTTCAGTCTAGTTTCCATGGGAAGACATTTCCTTTTGCACCACAGCCCTCAAAGCACCCCAAATGTCTACTTGCAGATTCGATAAAAGAATTTTTCAAAACTGCTCTATCAAAAGAAAGGTTCAACGCTGTGAGTGGAATCTACATATCACAAAAAAGTTTCTGAGAATGCCTCTATCTACTTTTTATGTGAAGATATTCCTGTTTCCAACGAAGGCCTCAAAGCGCTCCAAATATCTACTGGCAGATTCTAGAAAAAGAGCGTTTCAAAACTGCTCTATTAAAGGAAGGTTCAACTCTGTGAGTTGAATTCACACATCACAAAGAACTTTCTGACAATGCTTCTATCTAGTTTTTATGTGAAGATAGTACTGTTTCCTATGAAGGCCTCAAAGTGGTCCAAATATCCACTTGCAGATTCTACAAAAAGAGGATTTCAAAACTGCTCTATGAAGAGGGAGGTTCAACTCTGGTATTTGAATGCAAACATCACAAAGAAGTTTCTGAGAATGCTTCTGTCTAGTTTTTAGGGGCAGATATTTCCATTGGCACAATAGCCCTCAAAGCGCTCCAAATATCCACTGGCAGATTCGACCAAAAGAGTGTTTCAAAACTGCTCTGTGAAAAGAAACGTTCGACTGTGTCAGTTGAATGCCCACATCACAAAGAAGTTTCTGAGAATATCTCTGTCTAGTTTTTATTAGAAGATATTCCCGTTTCCACCAAAGGACTCAAAGCGCCCCAAATATCCACATACAGATCTTACAGAAACACGTTTCAAAACTGCTCTATCAAAGGAAAGGTTCATCTCTCTGAGTTCAACGCACACATCACAAAGAAGTTTCTGAGAATGCTTCTGGCTAGTTTGTATGTGAAGATATTCCCAATTCCAACAAAGGCTTCAAAGAGCTCCAAATATTCACCTAAAATTGTACAAAAGAGTGTTTCAAAACTGTTCTATGAAAAAGGAAGGTTCAAATCTGTGAGTTGAATGCACACTTCACATAGATGTTTCTGAGAATGCTTCTTTCTAGTTTTTATGGGAAGATATTTCCTTCTCCACCATAGCCCTCAAAGCGCTCCAAGTGTCCGCTGGCAGATTCCACAGAAACAGTGTTTCAAAACTGCTCTCACAAAAGAAAGATTCAACTCCGTGATTTGAATGCACACATCACAAAGCATTTTCTGTGAATCCTTCTGTCTAGTTTTTATATGAGGATATTTCCTTTTCTACCATGGGCATCAAAGCGTTCCAATTATCCAATTGTGGATTGCACAAACCGAGTGTTTCAAAACTGCTTCATGAAAAGGAAGATTCAAATTTGGGAGTAGAATGCACACATCATGAAGAAGTTTCTGAGAATGCTTCTGTCTAGTTTATACGTGAAGATATTCCCATTTCCAGCAAAGGTCTCAAAGCGGTCCAAATATCCACTTGCGGATCCCACAAATAGAGTGTTTCAAAACTGCTCTACGGAAAGGTATGTTCAAATCTGTGAGTTTACTGCAAACATCCTAAAGAAGTTTCTGAGAATGCTGCTGTCTAGTTTAATGTGAATATATTTTCTTTTCCGCCATAGCCCTCAAAGAGCTCCAAATATCCACTTTCAGATTCTACAGAGTGTTTCAAAACTGCTCTATCCAAGAAAAGTTTCAACTCGGTGAGTCGAATGCACATATCACAAAGCAGTTTCTGAGAATGCTTTCGTCTATTTTTCCCAGGAAGATATTTCCTTTCGGACCGTAGGCCTCAAATCGCTCCAGATATCCACATGCAGATTCTACAAAGAGAGTGTTTCCAAACTGCCCTATCAAAAGGAAGGTTCAACTCTGGTAGTTGAATGCAAACATCACAAAGAAGTTTCTCAGAATGCTTCTGTCTAGTTGTCATAGGCAGATATTTCTTTTTCTACCATAGGCCTCAAAGCGCTCCAAATATCCACTTGCAGATTCTCCAAAAACAGGGTTTCAAAACTGCTCCATAAAAAGGAAGGTTCAACTCTGTGAGTTGAATGGACAGACCACAAAGAAGTTTCTGAGAATGCTTCTCTCTAGTGTTTATGTGAAGATATTCCCGTTTCCGATGAAGGCCTCAAAGCAGTCCAAATATCCACTTGCCGATTCTACAAAAAGAGTGTTTCAAAACCACTCTATGGAGAGGTATGTTCAACACTGTGAGATGAATGCAAACGTCACCAAGAAGTTGCTGAGAATGCTTCAGTCTAGTTTCTATGGGAAGACATTACCTTTTGCACCACAGCCCTCAAAGCACCCCAAATGTCTACCTGCAGATTCGATAAAAGGGTTTTTCAAAACTGCTCCATCCAAAGAAAGGTTCAACGCTGTGAGTTGAATCTACATATCACAGAAAAGTTTCTGAGAATGCCTCTATCTACTTTTCCTGTGAAGATATTCCGGTTTCCAACGAAGGCCTCAAAGCGCTCCAAATATCCACTTGCAGATTCTAGAAAAAGAGTGTTTCAAAACTGCTCTATTAAAGGAAGGTCCAACTCTGTGAGTTGAATTCACACATCACAAAGAACTTTCTGACAATGCTTCTATCTAGTTTTTATGTGAAGGTATTACTGTTTCCTATGAAGGCCTCAAAGTGGTCCGAATATCCACTTGCAGATTCTACAAAAAGAGGTTTTCAAAACTGCTCTATGAAGAGGTATGTTCAACTCTGTGAGTTGAATGCAAACATCACAAAGTAGTTTCTGAGAATGCTTTCTGTCTAGATTTTAGGGGCAGATATTTCCATTGGCACAACAGCCCTCCAAGCTCTCCAAATATCCACTGGCAGATTCTACCAAAAGAGTGTTTCAAAACTGCTCTGTGAAAAGAAATGTTCAACTGTGTTAGTTGAATGCCCACATCACAAAGGAGATTCTGAGAATATTTCTGTCTAGTTTTTATTAGAAGATATTCCCGTTTCCACCAAAGGACACAAAGCGAAGCCAATTATCCGCTTGCAGACCTTACAAAAACACGTTTCAAAACTGCTCTATCCAAGGAAAGGTTCATCTCTCTGGGTTCAACGCACACATCACAAAGAAGTTTCTGAGAATGCTTCTGGCTAGTTTGTGTGTGAAGATATTCCCAATTCCAACAAGGGCTTCAAAGCGCTCCAAAGATTCACCTGCAATTGTTCAAAAGAGTGTTTCAAAACTGTTGTATCCAAAGGAAGGTTCAACTCTGTGAGTTGAATGCACGCTTCACATAAATGTTTCTGAGAATGCTTCTTTTTAGTTTTTATGTGAAGATATTTCCTTCTCCACCGTAGCCCTCAAAGCGCTCCAAGTGTCCGCTGGCAGATTCCACAGAAACAGTGTTTCAAAACTGCTCTAACAAAAGAAAGATTCAACTCCGTGATTTGAATGCACACATCACAAAGCATTTTCTGTGAATCCTTCTGTCTAGTTTTTATATGAGGATATTTCCTTTTCCACCATGGGCATCAAAGCGTTCCAATCATCCAATTGTAGAATGCACAAATAGAGTGTTTCAAAACTGCTTCATGAAAAGGAAGATTCAAATTTGGGAGTAGAATGCACACATCACGAAGAAGTTTCTGAGAATGCTTCTGTCTAGTTTATATGTGAGGATATTCCCATTTCCAGCAAAGGTCTCAAAGCGGTCCAAATATCCACTTGCGGATCCCACAAACAGAGTGTTTCAAAACTGCTCTTCGGAAAGGTATGTTCAACTCTGTGAGTTTACTGCAAATATCCTAAAGAAGTTTCTGAGAATGCTGCTGTCTAGTTTAATGTGAATATATTTTCTTTTCCGCCATAGCCCTCAAAGAGCTCCAAATATCCACTTTCAGATTCTACAGAGTGTTTCAAAACTGCTCTATCAAAAAAAAGTTTCAGCTCGGTGAGTCGAATGCACATATCACAAAGCAGTTTCTGAGAATGCTTTCGTCTATTTTTCCCAGGAAGATATTTCCTTTTTGACCATAGGCCTCAAATCGCTCCAGATATCCACATGCAGATTCTACAAACAGAGTGTTTCCAAACTGCCCTATCAAAAGGAAGATTCAACTCTGGTAGTTGAATGCAAACATCACAAAGAAGTTTCTCAGAATGCTTCTGTCTGGTTTTTAGAGGCAGATATTTCTTTTTCTACCATAGGCCTCAAAGCGCTCCAAATATCCACTTGCAGATTCTCCAAAAACAGTGTTTCAAAACTGCTCCATAAAAAGGAAGGTTCACCTCTGTGAGTTGAATGGACAGATGACAAAGAAGTTTCTGAGAATGCTTCTCTCTAGTGTTTATGTGAAGATATTCCCGTTTCCGATGAAGGCCTCAAAGCAGTCCAAATATCCACTTGCCGATTCTACAAAAACAGTGTTTCAAAACCACTCTATGGATAGGTATGTTCAACACTGTGAGATGAATGCAAACGTCACCAAGAAGTTGCTGAGAATGCTTCAGTCTAGTTTCCATGGGAAGACATTTCCTTTGGCACCACAGCCCTCAAAGCACTCCACATGTCTACTTGCAGATTCGACAAAAGAGTTTTTCAAAACTGCTCTATCAAAAGAAAGGTTCAACGCTGTCAGATGAATCAACATATCACAAAAAAGTTTCTGAGAATGCCTCTATCTACTTTTTATGTGAAGATATTCCAGTTTCCAACGAAGGCCTCAAAGCGCTCCAAATATCTACTTGCAGATTCTAGAAAAAGAGTGTTTCAAAACTGCTCTATTAAAGGAAGGTTCAACTCTGTGAGTTGAATTCACACATCACAAAGAACTTTCTGACAATGCTTCTATCTAGTTTTTATGTGAAGATATTACTGTTTCCTATGAAGGCCTCAAAGTGGTCCGAATATCCACTTGCAGATTCTACAGAAAGAGTTTTTCAAAACTGCTCTGTGAAGAGGTATGTTCAACTCTGTGTGTTGAATGCAAACATCACGAAGTAGTTTCTGAGAATGCTTCTGTCTAGTTTTTAGGGGCAGATATTTCCGTTGGCACAATAGCCCTCAAAGCGCTCCAAATATCCACTGGCAGATTCTACCAAAAGAGTGTTTCAAAACTGCTCTGTGAAAAGAAACGTTCAACTGTGTTAGTTGATTGCCCACATCACAAAGAAGATTCTGAGAATATTTCTGTCTAGTTTTTATTAGAAGATATTCCCGTTTCCACCAAAGGACACAAAGCGAAGCCAATTATCCGCTTGCAGATCTTACAAAAACACGTTTCAAAACTGCTCTATCGAAGGAAAGGTTCATCTCTCTGGGTTCAACGCACACATCACAAAGAAGTTTCTGAGAATGCTTCTGGCTAGTTTGTGTGTGAAGATATTCCCATTTCCAACAAAGGCTTCAAAGCGCTCCAAAGATTCACCTGCAATTGTTCAAAAGAGTGTTTCAAAACTGTTGTATCAAAAGGAAGGTTCAACTCTGTAAGTTGAATGCACGCTTCACATAAATGTTTCTGAGAATGCTTCTTTCTAGTTTTTATGGGAAGATATTTCCTTCTCCACCACAGCCCTCAAAGCGCTCCAAGTATCCGCTGGCAGATTCCACAGAAACAGTGTTTCAAAACTGCTCTGACAAAAGAAAGATTCAACTCCGTGATTTGAATGCACACATCACAAAGCATTTTCTGTGAATCCTTCTGTCTAGTTTTTATATGAGGATATTTCCTTTTCTACCACGGGCATCCAAGCGTTCCAATTCTCCAATGGTAGATTGCACAAACAGAGTGTTTCAAAACTGCTCCATGAGAAGGAAGATTCAAATTTGGGAGTACAATGCACACATCACGAAGAAGTTTCTGAGAATGCTTCTGTCTAGTTTATATGTGAAGATATTCCCATTTCTAGCAAAGGTCTCAAAGGGGCCCAAATATCCACTTGCGGATCCCACAAACAGAGTGTTTCAAAACTGCTCTACGGAAAGATATGTTTAACTCTGTGAGTTTACTGCAAACATCCTAAAGAAGTTTCTGAGAATGCTGCTGTCTACTTTAATGTGAATATATTTTGTTTTCCGCCATAGCCCTCAAAGAGCTCCAAATATCCACTTTCAGATTCTACAGAGTGTTTCAAAACTGCTCAATCAAAAAAAAGTTTCAACTCGGTGAGTCGAATGCACATATCACAAAGCAGTTTCTGAGAATGCTTCTGTCTAGTTGTCATAGGTAGATATTTCTTTTTCTACCATAGGCCTCAAAGCGCTCCAAATATCCACTTGCAGATTCTCCAAAAACAGGGTTTCAAAACTGCTCCATAAAAAGGAAGGTTCAACTCTGTGAGTTGAATGGACAGACCACAAAGAGGTTTCTGAGAATGCTTCTGTCTAGTGTTTATGTGAAGATATTCCCGTCTCCGATGAAGGCCTCAAAGCAGTCCAAATATCCGCTTGCAGATTCTACAAAAATAGTGTCTCAAAACTACTCTATGGAAAGGTATGTTCAACACTGTGAGATGAATGCAAACGTCACAAAGAAGTTGCTGAGAATGCTTCAGTCTAGTTTCCATGGGAAGACATTTCCTTTGGCACCACAGCCCTCAAAGCACTCCAAATGTCTACTTGCAGATTCGACAAAAGAGTTTTTCAAAACTGCTCTATCAAAAGAAAGGTTCAACGCTGTCAGATGAATCAACATATCACAAAAGAGTTTCTGAGAATGCCTCTATCTACTTTTTCTGTGAAGATATTCCGGTTTCCAACGACGGCCTCAAAGCGCTCCAAATATCTACTTGCAGATTCTAGAAGAAGAGTGTTTCAAAACTGCTCTATTAAAGGAAGGTTCAACTCTGTGAGTTGAATTCACACATCACAAGGAATTTTCTGACAATGCTTCTATCTAGTTTTTATGTGAAGATATTACTGTTTCCTATGAAGGCCTCAAAGTGGTCCGAATATCCACTTGCAGATTCTACAGAAAGAGTTTTTCAAAACCGCTCTGTGAAGAGGTATGTTCAACTCTGTGTGTTGAATGCAAACATCACGAAGTAGTTTCTGAGAATGCTTCTGTCTAGTTTTTAGGGGCAGATATTTCCGTTGGCACAATAGCCCTCAAAGCGCTCCAAATATCCACTGGCAGATTCTACCAAAAGAGTGTTTCAAAACTGCTCTGTGAAAAGAAACGTTCAACTCTGTTAGTTGAATGCCCACATCACAAAGAAGATTCTGAGAATATTTCTGTCTAGTTTTTATTAGAAGATATTCCCGTTTCCACCAAAGGACACTAAGCGAAGCCAATTATCCGCTTGCCGACCTTACAAAAACACGTTTCAAAACTGCTCTATCAAAGGAAAGGTTCATCTCTCTGGGTTCAACGCACACATCACAAAGAAGTTTCTGAGAATGCTTCTGCCTAGTTTGTGTGTGAAGATATTCCCATTTCCAACAAAGGCTTCAAAGCGCTCCAAAGATTCACCTGCAATTGTTCAAAAGAGTGTTTCAAAACTGTTCCATCAAAAGGAAGGTTCAACTCTGTGAGTTGAATGCACGCTTCACATAAATGTTTCCGAGAATGCTTCTTTCTAGTTTTTATGGGAAGATGTTTCCTTCTCCACCATAGCCCTCAAAGCGCTCCAAGTGTCCGCTGGCAGATTCCACAGAAACAGTGTTTCAAAACTGCTCTAACAAAAGAAAGATTCAACTGCGTGATTTGAATGCACACATCACAAAGCATTTTCTGTGAATCCTTCTGTCTAGTTTTTATATGAGGCTATTTCCTTTTCTACCATGGGTATCAAAGCGTTCCAATTATCCAATTGTGGATTGCACAAACAGAGTGTTTCAAAACTGCTTCATGAAAAGGAAGATTCAAATTCGGGAGTAGAATGCACACATCACGAAGAAGTTTCTGAGAATGCTTCTGTCTAGTTTATATGTGAAGATATTCCCATTTCCAGCAAAGGTCTCAAAGCGGTCCAAATATCCACTTGCGGATCCCACAAACAGAGTGTTTCAAAACTGCTTAACGGAAAGGTATGTTCAACTCTGTGAGTTTACTGCAAACATCCTAAAGAAGTTTCTGAGAATGCTGCTGTCTACTTTAATGTGAATATATTTTCTTTTCCGCCATAGCCCTCAAAGAGCTCCAAATATCCACTTTCAGATTCTACAGAGTGTTTCAAAACTGCTCTATCGAAAAACAGTTTCAACACGGTGAGTCGAATGCACATGTCACAAAGCAGTTTCTGAGAATGCTTTCGTCTATTTTTCCCAGGAAGATATTTCCTTTTTGACCGTAGGCCTCAAACCGCTCCAGATATCCACATGCAGATTCTACAAAAAGAGTGTTTCCAAACTGCCCTATCAAGAGGAAGGTTCAACTCTGCTAGTTGAATGCAAACATCACAGAGAAGTTTCTCGGAATGCTTCTGTCTGGTTTTTAGAGGCAGATATTTCTTTTTCTACCATAGGCCTCAAAGCGCTCGAAATATCCACTTGCAGATTCCCCAAAAACAGTGATTCAAAACTGCTCCATAAAAAGGAAGGTTCAACTCTGTGAGTTGAATGGACAGATCACAAAGAAGTTTCTGAGAATGCTTCTGCCTAGTGTTTATGTGAAGATATTCCCGTCTCCGATGAAGGCCTCAAAGCAGTCCAAATATCCGCTTGCAGATTCTACAAAAATAGTGTCTGAAAACTACTCTATGGAAAGGTATGTTCAACACTGTGAGATGAATGCAAACGTCACAAAGAAGTTGCTGAGAATGCTTCAGTCTAGTTTCTATGGGAAGACATTTTCTTTTGCACCACAGCCCTCAAAGCACCCCAAATGTCTACCTGCAGATTCGATAAAAGAGTTTTTCAAAACTGCTCCATCCAAAGAAAGGTTCAACGCTGTGAGTTGAATCTACATATCACAAAAAAGTTTCTGAGAATGCCTCTATCTTCTTTTCCTGTGAAGATATTCCGGTTTCCAACGAAGGCCTCAAAGCGCTCCAAATATCTACTTGCAGATTCTAGAAAAAGAGTGTTTCAAAACTGCTCTATTAAAGGAAGGTTCAACTCTGTGAGTTGAATTCACACATCACAAAGAACTTTCTGACAATGCTTCTATCTAGTTTTTATGTGAAGATATTACTGTTTCCCATGAAGGCCTCAAAGTGGTCCGAATATCCACATGCAGATTCTACAAAAAGAGGTTTTCAAAACTGCTCTATGCAGAGGTATATTCAACTCTGTGAGTTGAATGCAAACATCCCGAAGCAGTTTCTGAGAATGCTTCTGTCTAGTTTTTAGGGGCAGATATTTCCATTGGCACAATAGCCCTCAAAGCGCTCCAAATATCCACTGGCAGATTCGACCAAAAGAGTGTTTCAAAACTGCTCTGTGAAAAGAAATGTTCGACTGTGTCAGTTGAATGCCCACATCACAAAGAAGTTTCTGAGAATATCTCTGTCTAGTTTTTATTAGAAGATATTCCCGTTTCCACCAAGGGACACAAAGCGAAGCCAATTATCCGCTTGCCGATCTTACAAAAACACGCTTCAAAACTGCTCTATCAAAGGAAAGGTTCATCTCTCTGGGTTCAACGCACACATCACAAAGAAGTTTCTGAGAATGCTTCTGGCTAGTTCGTGTGTGAAGATATTCCCGTTTCCAACAAAGGCTTCAAAGCCCTCCAAATATTCACCTGCAATTGTTCAAAAGAGTGTTTCAAAACTGTTCTATCAAAAGGAAGGTTCAACTCTGTGAGTTGAATGCACGCTTCACATAAATGGTTCTGAGAATGCTTCTTTCTAGTTTTTATGTGAAGATATTTCCTTCTCCACCGTAGCCCTCAAAGCGCTCCAAGTGTCCGCTGGCATATTCCACAGAAACAGTGTTTCAAAACTGCTCTAACAAAAGAAAGATTCAACTCCGTGATTTGAATGCACACATCACAAAGCATTTTCTGTGAATCCTTCTGTCTAGTTTTTATATGAGGATATTTCCTTTTCTACCTTGGACATCAAAGCGTTCCAATTATCCAATTGTGGACTGCACAAACAGAGTGTTTCAAAACTGCTTCATGAAAAGGAAGATTCAAATTCGGGAGGAGAATGCACACATCACGAAGAAGTTTCTGAGAATGCTTCTGTCCAGTTTATATGTGAAGATATTCCCATTTCCAGCAAAGGTCTCAAAGCGGTCCAAATATCCACTTGCGGATCCCACACACAGAGTGTTTCAAAGCTGCTCTACGGAAAGGTATGTTCAACTCTGTGAGTTTACTGCAAACATCCTAAAGAAGTTTCTGGGAATGCTGCTGTCTAGTTTAATGTGAATATATTTTCTTTTCCGCCATAGCCCTCAAAGTAGCTCCAAATATCCACTTTCAGATTCTACAGAGTGTTTCAAAACTGCTCTATCCAAAAAAAGTTTCAACTCGGTGAGTCGAATGCACATATCACAAAGCAGTTTCTGAGAATGCTTTCGTCTATTTTTCCCAGGAAGATATTTCCTTTTGGACCGTAGGCCTCAAATCGCTCCAGATATCCACATGCAGATTCTGCAAAAAGAGTGTTTCCAAACTGCCCTATCAAAAGGAAGGTTCACCTCTGGTAGTTGAATGCAAACATCACAAAGAAGTTTCTCAGAATGCTTCTGTCTAGTTGTCATAGGCAGATATTTCTTTTTCTACCATAGGCCTCAAAGCGCTCCAAATATCCACTTGCAGATTCTCCAAAAACAGGGTTCCAAAACTGCTCCATAAAAAGGAAGGTTCAACTCTGTGATTTGAATGGACAGACCACAAAGAAGTTTCTGAGATTGCTTCTCTGTAGTGTTTATGTGAAGATATTCCCGTTTCCGATGAAGGCCTCAAAGCAGTCCAAATATCCACTTGCCGATTCTACAAAAACAGTGTTTCAAAATCACTCTATGGAAAGGTATGTTCAACACTGTGAGATGAATGCAAACGTCACCAAGAAGTTGCTGAGAATGCTTCAGTCTAGTTTCTATGGGAAGACATTTCCTTTTGCACCACAGCCCTCAAAGCACCCCGAATGTCTACCTGCAGATTCGATAAAAGGGTTTTTCAAAACTGCTCCATCCAAAGAAAGGTTCAACGCTGTGAGTTGAATCTACATATCACAAAAAAGTTTCTGAGAATGCCTCTATCTACTTTTCCTGTGAAGATATTCCGGTTTCCAACGAAGGCCTCAACGCGCTCCAAATATCTACTTGCAGATTCTAGAAAAAGAGTGTTTCAAAACTGCTCTATTGAAGGAAGGTTCAACTCTGTGAGTTGAATTCACACATCACAAAGAACTTTCTGAGAATGCTTCCATCTAGTTTTTATGTGAAGATATTACTGTTTCCTATGAAGGCCTCAAAGTGGTCCCAATATCCACTTACAGATTCTACAGAAAGAGGTTTTCAAAACTGCTCTGTGAAGAGGTATGTTCAACTGTGTGTGTTGAATGCAAACATCATGAAGTAGTTTCTGAGAATGCTTCTGTCTAGTTTTTAGGGGAAGATATTTCCATTGGCACAATAGCCTTCAAAGCGCTCCAAATATCCACTGGCAGATTCTACCAAAAGAGTGTTTCAAAACTGCTCTGTGAAAAGAAATGTTCAACTGTGTTTGTTGAATGCCCACATCACAAAGAAGATTCTGAGAATATTTCTGTCTAGTTTTTATTAGAAGATATTCCCGTTTCCACCAAAGGACACAAAGCGAAGCCAATTATCCGCTTGCCGATATTACAAAAACACGTTTCAAAACTGCTCTATCAAAGGAAAGGTTCATCTCTCTGGGTTTAACGCACACATCACAAAGAAGTTTCTGAGAATGCTTCTGGCTAGTTTGTGTGTGAAGATATTCCCATTTCCAACAAAGGCTTAAAAGCCCTCCAAATATTCACCTGCAATTGTTCAAAAGAGTGTTTCAAAACTGTTCTATCAAAAGGAAGGTTCAACTCTGTGAGTGGAACGCACGCTTCACATAAATGGTTCTCAGAATGCTTCTTTCTAGTTTTTATGTGAAGATATTTCCTTCTCCACCATAGCCCTCAAAGCGCTCCAAGTGTCCGCTGGCAGATTCCACAGAAACAGTGTTTCAAAACTGCTCTAACAAAAGAAAGATTCAACTGCATGATTTGAATGCACACATCACAAAGCATTTTCTGTGAATCCTTCTGTCTAGTTTTTATATGAGGATATTTCCTTTTCTACCATGGGCATCAAAGCGTTCCAATTATCCAATTGTAGATTGCACAAATAGAGTGTTCCAAAACTGCTTCATGAAAAGGAAAATTCAAATTTGGGAGTAGAATGCACACATCACGAAGAAGTTTCTGAGAATGCTTCTGTCCAGTTTATATGTGAAGATATTCCCGTTTCCAGCAAAGGTCTCAAAGCGGTCCAAATATCCACTTGCGGATCCCACACACAGAGTGTTTCAAAGCTGCTCTACGGAAAGGTGTGTTCAACTCCTGTGAGTTTACTGCAAACATCCTAAAGAAGTTTCTGGGAATGCTGCTGTCTACTTTAATGTGAATATAGTTTCTTTGCCGCCATAGCCCTCAAAGAGCTCCAAATATCCACTTTCAGATTCTACAGAGTGTTTCAAAACTGCTCTATCAAAAAAAAGTTTCAACTCGGTGAGTCGAATGCACATATCACAAAGCACTTTCTGAGAATGCTTTCGTCTATTTTTCCCAGGAAGATATTTCCTTTTGGACCGTAGGCCTCAAATCGCTCCAGATATCCACATGCAGATTCTACAAAAAGAGTGTTTCCAAACTGCCCTATCAAAAGGAAGGTTCAACTCTGGTAGTTGAATGCAAACATCACAAAGAAGTTTCTCAGAATGCTTCTGTCTAGTTGTTATAGGCAGATATTTCGTTTTCTACCATAGGCCTCAAAGCGCTCTAAATATCCACTTGCAGATCCTCCAAAAACAATGTTTCAAAACTGCTCCATAAAAAGGAAGGTTCAACTCTGTGAGTTGAATGGACAGATCACCAAGAAGTTTCTGAGAATGCTTCTGTCTAGTGTTTATGTGAAGATATTCCCGTTTCCGATGAAGGCCTCAAAGCAGTCCAAATATCCACTGGCAGATTCTACAAAAATAGTGCTTCAAAACTACTCTATGGAAAGGTATGTTCAACACTGTGAGATGAATGCAAACGTCACAAAGAAGTTGCTGAGAATGCTTCATTCTAGTTTCTATGGGAAGACATTTCCTTTGGCACCACAGCCCTCAAAGCACTCCAAATGTCTACTTGCAGATTCGACAAAAGAGTTTTTGAAAACTGCTCTATCAAAAGAAAGGTTCAACGCTGTCAGATGAATCTACATATCACAAAATTTTCTGAGAATGCCTCTATCTACTTTTTATGTGAAGATGTTCCGGTTTCCAACGAAGGCCTCAAAGCGCTCCAAATATCTACTTGCAGATTCTAGAAAAAGAGTGTTTCAAAACTGCTCTATTAAAGGAAGGTTCAACTCTGTGAGTTGAATTCACACATCACAAAGAACTTTCTGACAATGCTTCTATCTAGTTTTTATGTGAAGATATTACTGTTTCCTATGAAGGCCTCAAAGTGGTCCGAATATCCACTTGCAGATTCTACAGAAAGAGGTTTTCAAAACTGCTCTGTGAAGAGGTATGTTCAACTCTCTGTGTTGAATGCAAACATCACGAAGTAGATTCTGAGAATGCTTCTGTCTAGTTTTTAGGGGCAGATATTTCCATTGGCACAATAGCCCTCAAAGCGCTCCAAATATCCACTGGCAGATTCTACCAAAAGAGTGTTTCAAAACTGCTCTGTGAAAAGAAATGTTCAACTGTGTTTGTTGAATGCCCACATCACAAAGAAGATTCTGAGAATATTTCTGTCTAGTTTTTATTAGAAGATATTCGCGTTTCCACCAAAGGACACAAAGCGAAGCCAATTATCCGCTTGCCGATCTTACAAAAACACGTTTCAAAACTGCTCTATCAAAGGAAAGGTTCATCTCTCTGGGTTCAACGCACACATCACAAAGAAGTTTCTGAGAATGTTTCTGGCTGGTTTGTGTGTGAAGATATTCCCATTTCCAACAAAGGCTTCAAAGCGCTCCAAAGATTCACCTGCAATTGTTCAAAAGAGTGTTTCAAAACTGTTGTATCAAAAGGAAGGTTCAACTCTGTGAGTTGAATGCACGCTTCACATAAATGTTTCTGAGAATGCTTCTTTCTAGTTTTTATGTGAAGATATTTCCTTCTCCACCATAGCCCTCAAAGCGCTCCAAGTGTCCGCTGGCAGATTCCACAGAAACAGTGTTTCAAAACTGCTCTAAGAAAACAAAGATTCACCTCCGTGATTTGAATGCACACATCACAAAGCATTTTCTCTGAATCCTTCTGTCTAATTTTTATATGAGGATATTTCGTTTTCTACCATGGGCATCAAAGCGTTCCAATTATCCAATTGTGGATTGCACAAACAGAGTGTTTCAAAACTGCTTCATGAAAAGGAAGATTCAAATTCGGGAGAAGAATGCACACATCACGAGGAAGTTTCTGAGAATGCTTCTGTCTAGTTTATACGTGAAGATATTCCCATTTCCAGCAAAGGTCTCAAAGCGGTCCAAATATCCCCTTGCGGATCCCACAAACAGAGTGTTTCAAAACTGCTCTACGGAAAGGTATGTTCAACTCTGTGAGTTTACTGCAAACATCCTAAAGAAGTTTCTGAGAATGCTGCTGTCTACTTTAATGTGAATATATTTTCTTTTCCGCCATAGCCCTCAAAGAGCTCCAAATATCCACTTTCAGATTCTGCAGAGTGTTTCAAAACTGCTCTATCAAAAAAAAGTTTCAACTCGGTGAGTCGAATGCACATATCACAAAGCACTTTCTGAGAATGCTTTCGTCTATTTTTCCCAGGAAGATATTTCCTTTTTGACCGTAGGCCTCAAACCGCTCCAGATATCCACATGCAGATTCTACAAAAAGAGTGTTTCCAAACTGCCCTATCAAAAGGAAGGTTCCACTCTGCTAGTTGAATGCAAACATCACAAAGAAGTTTCTCGGAATGCTTCTGTCTGGTTTTTAGAGGCAGATATTTCTTTTTCTACCATAGGCCTCAAAGCGCTCCAAATATCCACTTGCAGATTCTCCAAAAGGAGTGTTTCAAAACTGCTCCAGAAAAAGGAAGGTACAACTCTGTGAGTTGAATGGACAGATCACAAAGAAGTTTCTGAGAATGCTTCTCTCTAGTGTTTATGTGAAGATATTCCCGTTTCTGATGAAGGCCTGAAAGCAGTCCAAATATCCACTTGCCGATTCTACAAAAACAGTGTTTCAAAACCACTCTATGGAAAGGTATGTTCAACGCTGTGAGATGAATGCAAACGTCACCAAGAAGTTGCTGACAATGCTTCAGTCTAGTTTCTATGGGAAGACATTTCCTTTTGCACCACAGCCCTCAAAGCACCCCAATTGTCTACCTGCAGATTCGATAAAAGGGTTTTTCAAAACTGCTCCATCCAAAGAAAGGTTCAACGCTGTAAGTTGAATCTACATATCACAAAAAAGTTTCTGAGAATGCCTCTATCTACTTTTTATGTGGAGATATTCCGGTTTCCAACGAAGGCCTCAAAGCGCTCCAAATATCTACTGGCAGATTCTAGAAAAAGAGTGTTTCAAAACTGCTCTATTAAAGGAAGGTTCAACTCTGTGAGTTGAATTCACACATCACAAAGAACTTTCTGACAATGTTTCTATCTAGTTTTTATGTGATGATATTACTGTTTCCTATGAAGGCCTCAAAGTGGTCCGAATATCCACTTGCAGATTCTACAAAAAGAGGTTTTCAAAACTGCTCTATGCAGAGGTATGTTCAACTGCTGTGAGTTGAATGCAAACATCCCAAAGCAGTTTCTGAGAATGCTTCTGTCTAGTTTTCAGGGGCAGATATTTCCATTGGCACAATAGCCCTCCAAGCGCTCCAAATATCCACTGGCAGATTCTACCAAAAGAGTGTTTCAAAACTGCTCTGTGAAAAGAAATGTTCAACTGTGTTAGTTGAATGCCCATATCACAAAGGAGATTCTGAGAATATTTCTGTCTAGTTTTTATTAGAAGATATTCCCGTTTCCACCAAAGGACACAAAGCGAAGCCAATTATCCGCTTGCAGATCTTACAAAAACACGTTTCAAAACTGCTCTATCCAAGGAAAGGTTCATCTCTCTGGGTTCAACGCACACATCACAAAGAAGTTTCTGAGAATGCTTCTGGCTAGTTTGTGTGTGAAGATATTCCCATTTGCAACAAAGGCTTCAAAGCGCTCCAAAGATTCACCTGCAATTGTTCAAAAGAGTGTTTCAAAACTGTTGTATCAAAAGGAAGGTTCAACTCTGTGAGTTGAATGCACGCTTCACATAAATGTTTCTGAGAATGCTTCTTTCTAGTTTTTATGGGAAGATATTTCCTTCTCCACCATAGCCCTCAAAGCGCTCCAAGTGTCCACTGGCAGATTCCACAGAAACAGTGTTTCAAAACTGCTCTAACAAAAGAAAGATTCAACTCCATGATTTGAATGCACACATCACAAAGCATTTTCTGTGAATCCTTCTGTCTAGTTTTTATATGAAGATATTTCCTTTTCTACCATGGGCATCAAAGCGTTCCAATTATCCAATTGTGGATTGCACAAACAGAGTGTTTCAAAACTGCTTCATGAAAAGGAAGATTCACATTCGGGAGTAGAATGCACACATCACGAAGAAGTTTCTGAGAATGCTTCTGTCTAGTTTATATGTGAAGATATTCCCATTTCCAGCAAAGGTCTCAAAGCGGTCCAAATATCCACTTGCGGATACCACAAACAGAGTGTTTCAAAACTGCTCTACGGAAAGGTATGTTCAACTCTGTGAGTTTACTACAAACATCCTAAAGAAGTTTCTGAGAATGCTGCTGTCTACTTTAATGTGAATATATTTTCTTTTCCGCCATAGCCCTCAAAGAGCTCCAACTATCCACTTTCAGATTCTACAGAGTGTTTCAAAACTGCTCTATCAAAAAAAAGTTTCAACTCGGTGAGTCGAATGCACATATCACAAAGCAGTTTCTGAGAATGCTTTCGTCTATTTTTCCCAGGAAGATATTTCCTTTTTGACCGTAGGCCTCAAACCGCTCCAGATATCCACATGCAGATTCTACAAAAAGAGTGTTTCAAAACTGCCCTATCAAAAGGAAGGTTCAACTCTGCTAGTTGAATGCAAACATCACAAAGAAGTTTCTCGGAATGCTTCTGTCTGGTTTTTAGAGGCAGATATTTCTTTTTCTACCATAGGCCTCAAAGCGCTCCAAATATCCACTTGCAGATTCTCCAAAAACAGTGATC